>NC_000004.12:111648653-111800168 GCF_000001405.40 Homo sapiens | reverse complement strand
TGCCCTCAACATCAGGCTGATTTGAGTCATACCCTCATTTTCTCTTCCATTTCTGGGAAGTTGAATCCTATATTTAACCACCACCACCACTCTGGCTGAGGCATTCCCTCATCCCATCTTCCACTGCCACACCAGGTCCAGGATTCTACTGTACTATAGACAGGTGTTACACCGCTCTCCAGATTCACATCATTATGGCCCCACCTCATAGAAAGCAACGCACATAGCGTAACAACTTGAGTTGGGCAGTTCACCATCTCCTGCTTAGGCACTTGGTTGGATTCTTGTTAATTCTGCTTGAGTCCTACTCTAATGTCATTTTAGTTTTCACAGAGACAAAATTATCCATGTTATAAATACAGTTGACCCATGAGCAACATGGGTTTGAACTGCATGGGTCTACTTGTATGCAGATTTTTTTCAACCAAACACTGACCAAATGTACAGTTTGCAGGATATGGAGGTCTGACTCTGCATCTGCGGGTTCCACAGGTACTACTGTGGGACTTGGCTATGTGCTGATTTTGGTATATGTGGAGGTCCTGGAACCAATTCCCTGGCTATACTGAGGGATGACTGTACTTGTTTTTCCCTGCCAGCCCACTGTTCGGGTAGCTTCAGACATTTTATGTGAGACTATGAAGATTATGAAGTTTTGACTTCCTTGACAAGTCTAGCTTAATTATGAAATTATTTTAGTGATTTTTTCATGCAGTTTGTAATTTATCCCATACTTCTAAAGTGCAGGAATTATACTTTATTATATCTCTCATTGTTGTAGTAGCCATATTTTCTGGGAAAAAAAATCCAGATACATGATTTGATAAATTCTACTATTCTTACACGGTCAAAGTATGAATTATTTGAAATAGAACCTGACATTTTTATTCTGGCTATCATTATTTCTTGCAGGTAGCATTCAAAAAGTTTCTTGTTTAATATATGTGAATAGCATATGAAATGCATTAGTTGAAGAAGCATTTTCTTGATTGTAAAAATAATTACTTTTAGGGAACTTTGGAATAAATTACTATGTTAATTTTTTTTTTTCCCTGAAAATTCTTAGCACTTTGTATTGCGTCGCAGAGACCCTCCCCACTCTGTGCATAGAATAGTCTTTTCAGTATAGCACCTGAAGGGGTCACTCATGCACAGGATACTTTCTCTCTATCCTGTAAATACTCTCTTGGTGATGGGTACTCTTGATTTGAATAGCAAAATGTCTTTGAGTAGTGGTAGAAACATTTTGTGTTCCTTCTGAGGGACAGAGCAGTTGAATTCTGTCTTGAAATAAAGGTGGTTTTCCTAAGAAGTGTGTTCAAACTTAGGAATTTAAGGGATATTCTTTTTGTTATTTCTGAAAAAGTTATTTTCTTGACATTTTCCTAGAAGTTTGTTTTAAGGATAAGAATGGAACCTAGAACACATATGCATTAGAATGATTAGATTTTCAAAAGCTTTGTAGGAAATTAGGGCAAAAAGTATTTTCAGACCTTCATATGTATTTTTTTCATGGAGACAAAATTTTTTAGTAGAGGAGTGGGAAGGGTTATACTTGCATAAGCATAATTTTCCCCGAAATTTAAATTCGCTTGCGTTTTTCTAATCCAAAATATAGCTCAAGAAAATTTCCTCTGGCTTTATGGTTTATTACTGATTTCACTCTAGGCAAGAATAATGAAAACACCCAGCTTTGGCAGTTAGATATTGTTATGACAAAATCTTTTTATAATATTGAGACTTTTTTCTCATTACAAAATGGGACTGATGAATTTCACACACAAGGGGCTACCTTGACAATCCTGACACTTGTATGATTATTGCATATTATCCTGTTTTTTAAAAACGTGTGTGCCTAAATATCCCAGAGTAATGATTATATGATAAAATGTCATACTGCTTTTGAAATGCTTTCAGTCCTTTCATGACAGAAAATTAGGTAGAAAGTCCAATTTTCCATATCTCTGTGTAGGCTTTTTTATTTCTAAATTTAGATTAGGTAGACATCTTAAAGTAGTTTTATAGAGAAAAGTGCGGTCATATTTTTAGGTTCCTTATGTTTGACACTTGCATTTTTTAAGCAAGCAATACTCATTGATTACCTAGGAAAGTTTCCTTATGCTTTGTTAATTTGATAGTATGGGCAATTTATTAGGTGTTTCCTGTTTTTAACTGCAGTCTGATTCTGAAGGAAATGAGCAGAGTCTGTGGCACAGCAGATGAGTCTGTGTCTGATGAGAGCCATGTGGGCCAAACTCTCATTTTTCATAAGTGCTGTCATTTTACAGATGTATGACCTTTTTCTTCTTTCTTCAGAGGAGGAGGGGTTGGGGAAAGAAGATAATGCACAGGGTTCATTTGAGAAACTCTTGTAGGCAGATACACAAATCATGTCACGTAAACCAGAACAGGCTAAGGAAACCTCACATCTCTTTTCCGAAGACAATAACAGATAGGACAGAGAAAGATGGAGTCAAAGATGATTAGGAAAACAGGAATGGTTAATGGATAACAGCAACGTGGCGCCAAGCTGTTCATTCCATGTCATAAAGATATGAAGCCACACAAACAGAGGCCAGGTAAAAGGTCTCTGAATGAATATCCAATCAATGCAGATGTATATTTGTGCTTTGAGACTTTTTAATAGAGAATAATGTGATGCATGGAGAAGTTACTTGTAGCAAATTGAGCTATTCCTTACTTAGAAGTTGCAGCACGCCCGGAGCTAGCTTCCCAGGTGTGTGGTGTGACCAGTGTAGTCACACAGGGCTCCAAGCCAAAGTGCCAAGCACTTAGTTTAATGCTCTGCTGTTGCCCTGAATTTTGATTTTGCACTGGGTCCCACAAAATGGTAGCCAGCCCTGAGAACATGCCTAATAAATTGTGGAGATGTATATCTTATGTTTTCAGTACATGGCACTTTTAATTTCTAAAACCATAGGTTCACATGGTCCTGGAAACCAATGGTGGTTCAAATGGTGGTCATGGCGGCCAGCAAGGAGAGCTGTCTTAGGCTCTTGTCTCACCGAACATCTGACCTACCTTGCTTTAGGTCCAGGGGATTTATTTGATCAAGGCTAAATTTGATGGAAAGTTGAGATCAGTTCCACATCATAACTCATGTTTAAGGTAGGGTGAAGAAAAAAATTTATTCTGACATTTTTTTTCTATGAATAACCAAAGTTATGGTTCTCTAAACTTGATCAACATATATACACACATGAATATGCACACATATGTGCTTATACTTAGAATAAGTTTAGTAATATAAATTATATATTAAAATAATTTATTTCATAATATAAAAACACTGAATCAAGTGTAAAATTTTCATACACATGAAGAGATATCACTTTGTAGGATCTCCTTGAGAAAATAAATCTTCACTATATCATATATTCATTTGGAGTAAACATTGTACAATATTATCATCACACTATTAAAAGGGGTTCATTAAGAAAACAATTATTTTTTTACCTGACTCTTGCTAAATTGTTTTCTAATGATTAGTTTCTTTTTAACATCTATTTAAACTAGGTCTGACAGTGCTATATTATGAAGTCAGTTTCTCATTTTTTTTTTGTAGCACATTTTGGTTTAATTAATCTACTTTACTTTGTCCTGTAATAAACTCTCAGGAGATGTGACTGTAACTCATGAAAGCCCAGTGAATTATCTCAGCTGGAGCTTATTTGGCCTCATGATTACAGGGAATTTTTGAATCTGAGCTCCTCAGTAGCAGTTTCCACCTCACATAGACAATATTGTTCTGGAGCCTTCCCTCAGCCTGCTCTCTCAGATGCAGGAGTTAATGTTTATTTTGGGAGGAGCTACAAAGGAAGAATCTCTTTCACTTTAGTTGACCTTTTCCAAAAAAAAGATAACATGCTAGTCAGCTATACATATTGTATCTAATGATAAATGTTAAGAATGGCTCTGATATCAATTAAATCAACTTCATATATTCATCTTAAAAAATACCCAATCAATCAAAATGCTTTCTCGCAGGAAAAGTGGACCATTAAATGACAGTTGCCAAGCAATTTCTATTTTACAAATCAATTCCATGCTTAAATTGAGGTTTATATTGAAAACATCTAATCTATTATATATATCTTAAAAAAAAAAAGACCCTCCTCCCAACCCAAACTGTTAATTATTGCACAGTCAAGGCTGCAATTAAAGGCTGAAGAGATTTGTCTAGCAAGATAACAGAGGGAGGAAAACAAGGAACACAATCTCTATGGGGCAGTTACATCACACTTGATAGCTCTCTCACACTTGATAGCTCATCCCATGGATGCTGTTGTTTGTTCCTTAGCAGAATATCCTAGTCAATAGATAGATAAAAATAAAGAGCAATTGAGATGTGCATCTGCCTGATATTGGAAAGGAATATACCTCTCCAAAAGGTCTGAAAGATTCTCCTCTATCTGGATGCCTCAAACTCAATGCTTTCTCTTTAGTTAATTCCTCAGAAAAATGTTACCGATAGCAATATAACTATCCAATCACTTATTTACTCAAAGATAAGGGACTGTATGTAAACTCACTTAAGATAGGCACAACAATTCTTTAAGAAAGAAGACTTCTTCATAAGATTTAATTTAAACCAAAAGAATAGAGCTAAGATTAAATAAAGATATTTCAGAACAAAGAAAGTGTCTTATATGATATCCTTTGGATTTCCATAACAAAACTTCAAGGCTCTAAACTTGCAGCTACCTCTAATATAACACTGATTTGTTTTAAGTATTACTCTGAAATCTTTTCTGTTACTTATCAAAATTTGTTCTTTTTAATTTTCATCTTCTCAACTTCAATTTTTAAAGTCACCTATTTCTGAAAATAATGGTTTTTTCTTTACTTCGTTTTTTTTAAGAAAGGAAAATCAAGTTCTTGTCATACTGTCTGAAACCAAGGCATCTGAAACTGGATAAATTCTCTAATTCATTTTTTTTAAACTTTACTTTTGAATTGGCCCTCATTTACATAATCTCTTTTAAGAGTCTCCATTGTATACTTAGCTTAGGTACACTTACATGTATCTTTCAGCAGTACTTTATCCATCTTGATATAAGAGGCATTGATTAAAATCTATCTAGACATGAAGTCTTTTCTTATTTTAATAGAGTTGCTGTATTATAGTTTCTATAGTTGACATTAGAAATGAGATATTTTCATCTATTTGTTGAAATTATCATAAAATAAAGGACTGTAATAATAGACTGAGTTATAACAATGGTGATGTTTTGAATTGAGTCTCAAGTTATGCCAAAAAGTTGTTTAACAGTCTTTTGGATACATATAACTATCATAACTATATACTTCTATAGTCTTGTGACTTGAAGGAAGCCTTTTTCTTTGCCATAAAGATTGAAGATGATCTAAGAAAAGTATGTCATAGCCACACAATAAAAGTATGAGGAGTTAGGTGTTGGGAGAGTTTGGGGCTCATGCTTAACTCTCTGCTTGTACTATTTTACTGATGTAGTTATGCTGAGTTTCTAAATAATGTTTTCCTCTTTACTAGTTGAAAATAAATACAAATAACTTTAAAAATAGGCCATGGAATTTAATGAAAGGGTTTTATGAGAATCTAAAACCCCTGTGAGTATTACAAAATAAGTGATCCTAAGATTTTAACCTTTTCAATTAGATCTGATGTGCATGCATATAGATTTAAATCAAACCTGAAAACCCTGGGCTCTCCTGATACTCTAGAATCTTCTTGAACCATTTTAATATGACCCACTTAATCTTTCATTTATATTGAATCTTCAGAAAGACTTGTAGATCCCAATTTAAGGCTTAAATTGCTACCCACACAGATTCTGAGTATTAAGAAGCTCATTGTTATTGAGACAGAGCATATTTCAGCTCTTCCTTCTTAACAAATACAATCGCATATCTAACAGGATGTTGAGAATTGACTTCCCATTTTGTGTAATATCTACTAGGCAGCAATTCTGAATTGAAACAACGTAGCAAACTTTCTGCCCTGAGCAGCCATATTTATAGAGTATAATTTTTAGGCTCTTTGTGCAGAACATTGAAAACAAAATATGAAATAGTGAGTCTGTTTTGCTGAACTATAGGGTTGTTTTAAAATTCAAGCAACATGCAAATCAGAAATAACATCCTAGGACTGGGTCAATCAAAAAATTCTGTGAGCAGATAATTTGTTTAATAACCATTCATAGGGACCCCCTGTGTTCTTTTTCTCTTTGGCACAGTTGTTTTCCTTCTTGTCTTCTAAGCCTAAGGCATCTCATTTGCATTTGATTTGCATTTTGTTCTTAATGGGAAAAAAGAGCAAGCACATGAGAGAAGGAAAGAAAAAACAGTTCCAGATATCTAGCAGTAACCAATTCCTTGGTGTTAGCCTGTGCTGTTGAATATTTTATAATTTATAAACTGAAAACACATTATGCTCTGCTTTTCAAACAGGCTTTGTCACATGCCTTTTCTAAACCTTTTAAGACATTAGGCTTGTGACCGGGATAAAAAAATATGCATTCTTTATTTCTACATATCTCTTGTGGTGCTACACTGTGGGAATGGAAGAACAGAGGAGGTTAGAAGGAGGTCTGAAGTTCCTGCTAATCATTTTCAGAGGCAAAACTGATTTTAAACTTGTTACTTTTATTGAAAAAATATACGTTGATACTTTTAAAATATCAAGAGAGTATATGCTAGCTAAAGAATTTCTGATTTCTCAACCATCATCTGGACACAATATTTTGAGAGATGCTACTGAGAGATTTGTTGAACCTCATTGAATTAAGGTCAACTCATCAATTCTTAACAGGAATATAAGTTGAAGCTGATTCCTAATAGCTTCTGGAATGCAAAAGAAATGCTGACCTTTAGTCTAGATGTCAATGGAAGCAAAGTCAAGAGCCAGAGAGTTTTGGTTAAAAAATTTATACACTGCTGATAAGAGGTGGAGATTGTCCCTGTGTTTCATATACTGGAATCCAGAGGCAGTGTTTCTAGCTCTGCTCTTGTAAGATCAGAACCAGTCATTTAACCTCCCTTTTATTTCTTTGCATGAACTAAAATTTATGTTGGCAAATTGCTTTTCTGGAGAGAAAATAAAAACTATGTTAATGTAGCATATTAACTCATTGCTGAAAGTACAATACAAATGATTTGAATTTTCTAAGAGAAAAATCTCTAGTTAGCTGAAGACCAGATTTGAAAGCAGAGGGAACATTGAAGAGAAGGGCATAGCCTGGCTGTTCTTTGAAAAGCGTTGCCATGGGCCAAGCAGTTTCCAGACAACTGCCCAAGAGCCAGGCAGTGCAGGGATCCTGTAAAACTTCAGCCCTTGAATTCTGTACTGATAAGAGAGGCTGTCTGGATTAACAACCCTGTCAAGGGTAACCCTCTGAAGTGCTTATTTGTTTAGGAAAAGAACCTCATTCATCATCAGGGAGTGACAGAAAAAGGGGCTGTTTGACACCATATCTGAAGGCTACCTGGATGTATGGGCTCTTTGGGTACCTTTCATGAAAAGGAAGAGGAGAAAGGATGCTGTTGCTATTCAGTTTCAACATAGTATTAAAAGGAAATGTATTATACATGTTCACAATGCCATTTTTTTATGATGCAGTTTCATTTCTTTTCATTGTAAAACTCTTTGGGAAAAATTTTATCTCAAAAATCAGAGATGATATATTTATGTTGTTAACTAACGTAAAGATACACAAAAAGAAAAGTAAAATCTGACATTAGAATTGTAGTTTGCCTTTTGTTGATTTTATTATTAGATCCTTTGAAACCTCTTTTATCAATTTGTCTAGTTGAACATGTGAATATTATATTTATTTGCCTCAATAAACTGATTATAGGCCCAAATTTAAAAAAATGCTATAGGTTAACTAGTGATTTAAAAAAACTATTGGGATAATTATAGATTTTTTTGATCATCTAGAATTTATGTTATAAAAATGGAGAAAGTTCAAAAGCAGATATTATTATCTGAGGACATGAATGACAATAACTGATGTTAAAATTGAATGCCCTGAATATAGATAAAAATAAAATTGCTTGCTAGATAGGTGACATTTTAGGTACAATACTTCATCTGTTGTGATTGACAACTAAAACTAAATTCTGTAATTTTGACTGTTTGCATAATGATTAAGAAGATTTCAGCTTTATTTAAAGCAGAAATGTCACATGTATTGCAGTTACTAATTTGTATTTATATAGTAGGTAAATCACAACTACTATATAGTGATAGGATCATATGTCATAAGCAAGAATGCACACATATAAACTACAAAATTCAAAGCGTATCTGTACTGTCTATTATATATAATTTATTGGGAATTATTTGCTTAATTACCTCTTTCTTAAAAAATATCACTCCAAGTAGATATTGTAGCTTTACTGTAGGAAAGAGTAGTTTGGAGAGGTTAAATAACATGTACAAGGCCACATAGCTAGTACGTAGTAGAAACAGGATCTTAAGGCAGATTCATTTGGGCCCAAAGCTCTTAACAACCCTTTATTTGTAGCCACATTGCCTCCCTTTAATGAATCCACATGTATCTATCTGCAAATATCACTCTTGTTTCTAATAAAACTGTGTGCAATGCCATCTCAAAGGTTCTTTCAGGTACCCTAAGGGTATAAAAGGAAAAAGAAAACAAAACAAATACAATGGTTGACACTTGCCATCTAAGAATCAAACCCAGAGTAAATGATTAAATGTTGGAAAAGAGCAGCCTGACATCAGAAAAATCGCTTATGCTGTAGGCACAGTCTGTTTCTGATATTATGTCACTACTCATTATGTCTATTCTACTCCCTTCTAGCACCTCCTGGAGTCCTCCCCATTACTGCTTTACTCAGATCTAACTTCCAAGGAACTTCCTTCACTTTGTCTGATTTCTCAAGGTTTTGATGTCTCCTGGGTAACTGTGGGTTAAAATAGATTATCCTAATAATTGGGCTAATGTGATAGCAAGCTAACTTGTTCCTATTCAGAGAAATGTAATAATAATAATAATACAGAGAAGAGTAAACAATAATAACAATCAACCATTTTCCTATATACATGAATTGACACTGGGGACTGAAACTACCTACCACCCCCTTCTACCCCTTTCCCCCTACAATTTGCTGTCTGCATGTATATGACTGCTATTTCATGAGTCTCTTGGCCAGGCAAATGGTTCGGTTGTTCATTACAAGAACTTCCCTAAAGACCCACCAAATCCTCAAAGGAAAGCATCAAAAGATAGGGCTAAACAATTGTATCCTAATCTTTACTCAGAATTAATCAAGCTTCCTAACTGAAAGCCCACCATAAATCAAATATCCAATTTTCAACACATGCTGTTCTTGCTTCTTTCCCCCTTCAAGACATTGCCAAAGCTCTGTCGAAGTTGGGCTCTCCCTTACCACAGTAAGCAATAAACTCAACTTTCTCTTATCAACAGATTGTGTTAGTAATATTTGAGGAACCTGCATTTGACACTAATAACCACTAATATTTACATAGCACAGTAAATAAATGTGCCAAGTAGTGTGTATACATGTGCATACCACACACACACACACACACACACACACCCCATTTATCTCCATATTACACATGAGGGAACGGAGGCCTAAAGTGGTATTAAGTTGCTTGCTCAGGTGACACAGCTTCATAAGTGGCCTTCTAAACTGTTTCTTGCAATATATATATGACCACCAAAGAAATATGTCTTCAGGAGGCCTCTACAGGAATGACTGTTAAAGTGAAACTTACAGAACTGTGATTGCAGACTTAGGGAGATAATTGTCACTGGGTATGTGTTTCTAGTTAGATTAGCTGCTATTATGGTCTACAGATGGTACCAGCCTTGCACATAAGGCAGTCAGATTGAGGGAATTAGTATGACATGTTAGTTGAGGAAGGAAAATTGTTTTACTCAGTGTCTGAATGAAGTATGATTGTCAGAGATGACAGTCTCCTGTGGAGGTTTCCCACACCAGCTCTATCCACAATTTCACAGTAGATTTGCATTGTACCAGGCAACCCAGCCCCTGCTGTGCATGCCTCCAATCAAGGCAGGATATACTCATGGGGAAAGGACTAAAGTCACAGAATAAAAGAAGCTACAGATTAAGAGCTCCGCAACCTCACACTCTTGAGTTATGGAACACAGTGCTCTAACGCTAAATCATCATTGTGATTCCTTAATGGGAAGGATGGCGGGGCAAATTCTTTTCTTGATATTCAGTCGATTCTCTATGAATGGACTTCTAGGTAAATGGGACTGGTTATATTCCCTCCACCACTGCCTCTCTCGTAGCCAGTGTCCTGTACACCTGGCAATCAGAATTCATAAGTTCCTGAATTTGGAGAGGCAGAATGTGGACATTAGAGGACACCTGTATGTTTTCTAGTCCTCTTTTTCTGTCAAAATCTTCTCTCCCCCGACCCCTGCATCCACCCCACTTCTCTCTCGAGTGCACGCACACGCAAATTCTCTCCAAATTTTCCATCTTTCCATTTTCATGCTTTTCATGATGCTTTTACAATTCTGCATTAGGTTCTTTTAGGTGATGACTAGGTTGACGTGTGCTTTGTGACCTCATCTTCTGGGAAGTGAGTCTCTGTTAACTGCTATTTGACAAAATGTTGCCTCACGATTACACTCCTGGGACCATTTAGCGTCCTTGAAACTAGGAGCAAGGAGCCCTGATACTCTTTAGGAATTAGTGTAAAGGAAAATACAGGATAAAGTATGACATTTAAATACTCCTTAAGTCATTTATCCTACATGGTGCTCAAATAAATACTCACAAGGATTTTGTTTTTATAAGTTTCATATACATCTATGTATATATGCATGTAGGTATACATATATTTCCAATTTTTAATACAAACTGTCTTATTACTTTTTCTAAAATAATTCCCATGCTCAAAATCTTCCTTTATCCTCCTTCATTTGCAAAATAAAATCTGAAATGTGTTCTGGACCTCATGGACCATATTTCCACTTGTCATGCTTACCTGCCATAGTTTTCTAGAGCAAAGCATCTCAAACTTGAATGCGCATGTGAACCAAAGCGGGTTCTAGTTCCAGTGCAGATTCTGATTCCACAGGTCTAGGGTGAGGCCCAAGATTCTGCATGTCTCACAACTGATACTGGCAATGCTGATCCCTGAACCACGCTATAGAGTAGGGAGACTCTAGATTCCACAGCCTTGCTCCTGTAGCAAACAGCTGTTTGTTCTGCTTACTACCACTTTTAGAAATTCTTTCCCTTTCCTGCCCATTTGCTTTGCTTCTGCTGTTTCATGTCTGTCTCTCTTTTCTGAGATTGGTATTATCTACAGAAATGTCCAATGAATTAGACAACTTTTCATAGGCACAGCACACCCTTTCAAAAATCGCATTTCTGTGTCTTGAAGGAAAATCCTTTGCACTTGCATTTCCTGAACAAATGCCTTTCTTTGAATCACACCCTTACACTCTTAAACATGCTCTGGAAATGGGGACTCGGCCTCACTGAAGGCAGTCCTGTGACACCAAATCATTGAAGGGAAAGGCTCACATTGACAATACAGTCTTTAGCGCAGAGAAGTAGCACTTCCCATAAAAACACAGAGAATTTTATCATAAGCTTTCCTTCTCTTTTTCAACTGCAAGGAAAACACTGTAGTTTCAGGAGGGACAAAGCAAGTACATTCTGGTGATTAAGAAACAATGCGCAAGGCAGAGCACCCTAGCAACCCTGATACCTGAAAGTGCGCCCTCCTTCAACATGATTTTGGAGTGATTATCTCATAATATTCAATGACAAGATCACCTAGAAAGTGCTAATTAATACACAGGAGAGTCTCATCTAATATTTATGTTGCTGGTGCGGCGGCTCCGCGGCGTTGCTGGCGGCGGGGGGAGCGGGCTTTAGCGCAGGATTGCCCGAGCCGCGTTAATCCCTCCCTGATGAGCCAGGTCCCCCATCCGCACCCATTCGGAACGCGCGGCTCTCAGGGCGCTAGTAAAGCCCTTCAGCCTTCCAATCCTGACTTCCGGCAGGGCTGCTGCTTGCTTTCCCAAGTGAAACCCTCTGCTCACCTGGTTAAACTGGCTAATCCTAAATTGGCTTTTAGATTGTCACTTAATAACTCTGAGACCCTCCAGCAGGCTCCTGTGCAAATCCCGAGATGAATGAGGCCTAGGCACAGTGAAAATGAACCCACAAAAATATTTTTTGCAAATTCTTGAAGTTACATTTTATTTCTTTTGTCTGAGAATTAAGGTCTGAAATCATTTTTAAATGATGACACATGACCCTAAGACTTTCTACGACACTCCGTGACTTTAAAAATCGAGTAATAAAGCAATAGCTGCATTTTCTATTAAAATTTTTTTCTTTTAAAAATTTACTGGTGACATATTGCATAGCACTTAAAATTTTGACATCTGCTAGATGCTGGATATTTTTGGTCTTAATTTATTCTGCAAGGCATGCTTTCAAAATGCGTATGCTTTGTTATGGAAAGAACTCTGTCCTTTGAAGAGTATTTTCCTTATTCTTGTAATGAGATAGAAGTGATAGAAATGATTATTAGGGTCCTTATAAGTTCTCAAATTTAATGCAAATCCCATATATACCCAACAATGTTCTGATTCAAAAGTTCTAGAAAGAAGCCAGGAATCTGTATTTTTACCAAGCCCTTTCAGGCTATTTTGATGCACATATAAAATATGTTCTATATTTTTTGAGGAAAGTTTTCTTTTTTGTTTATACATTTCTTATCCAAAATGAAAAAGAGTAACAGACAAACAAATGAAGTACAATGTTTGAAAAGCATTGTAGTGGTGCCTCAGTGACAGAAGGAGACACCAAGATGCCTGGTTACTGAGCTCCACGTTCCGCAATGGGATACACAGACACAGAGCTGGGGTCTGGCGGGAGCAAATCAGTGCAGAACGATTCAAGAGAAGAGGGCAATTGGGAGCTCTGATGAGTGATTTTGAAAGGAAGGAATGATTCGAATGGAGGCCACATGGTTTAACTTACAATGAACCTGCAGGTTTTGAAAATTGCATGCTGGATTTCCTCATAAACATACATCAATCTCAGAACAGGCGGCTCTGCTCTTTGGTATGCAATCTTTTGGGAGGTTTTTCTCATTCAGTACAAAATCATAGAAAATATACATTGGAGTTGAGAATTTTAAAATGCAGAGTTAAAAAAAGCTTTCAATAATTTAATAAAAAGCACGCGGGCAAATGTGAATTCCAGTCACTTTCTATTTAAATTATGAAACCTTTGAATTTGCTTTTGGGAGGATAAGCATAGTGTGCTTTGGCATTCTCTCTCTCTCCTATATTTTTTTTAACCTGCACATCATTTCAGAATGAAGTGGTAGCAATTATTGTCAGGAACCCAAGCAAGCAGTAGCGCTTAATAGGAAAAGAGGGATGACACACGGTACAGAGAAAAATTGGGGTGCCACTTGCCACTAATCATAAGAACTTGTTTTTCCCAATACACAATTATACAGGAATAAAGAAATGTGAATGCGCAGAGATATAAAAGTCTTATTTTCACTGTTTTTTTTTTGAATTAATAGAATACACAAAATCTCTGGTTTGTCTTGTAGGAAGTTTAGCAAGTTTCTAGGATTAAATGGCTTTCCTCTTCTGTGAAGGGTCTGATGTAAACCCTTGTACCAAGGCTTAAAGTCTTAAGCCTGTTAGAAGTTTCCATCAGTCAGTCTGTATGTCAGTGGATAAAGTCAGTTGCTGATCTAACCTATTCATTGCTCTCTGGAAAGATGCATAAAACTACACAAATATTTTTTAGTGATGTAGGAAGGCTGGGGAAATGAAGGTCCATCCAATGATAAAATGCATTTTCTAACTGGCAACATTTTGGAGGAACGTACTACCACAGTGCTTTTCTATGTAATTTTAAGTGCTATATTTGATGAGGTGGTGAAAAAAAGAGATCAGTTTTCTTTGGTAATCTATCCTTAGTACTTTGATAAATGTGAAAGTCTCTGTCATTTCCATGCTTAGAAAAGTTGTGTTCTATATATATTCTGCCTGAAATAGTTTTGCACAATCCATACCAGAAAAATTGTGAGGAAATAAAATTTCTTTTATTTTCTTGCCTTGTCCTCTTTTATCTTCATTTGATGTACATTTTTAATACTTAAGATATCTGCATTTCATGATACCATATTATGTTTGCTGTCTGCTAGTCAACAATAGCAGATACATATTATGTATGCTGTCTGCTTGTCAACAATTATTTGGTACTTACTGTGTGCTCAACTGTGTACTGTACTCAGTGAAATGTCAGCAAGAGGGCAGAGAAGGGGTAGAATGCAGATAAAATACCACATCTGGCCTTAGTCTCAGCCCTCAAGGGGTTTGTGTAGCATATTTGAAAACATTTGATGGTAGATCTTAATAAGCTTGGGTTGATGGCATACAAGTATACATATGCTTTGCATGCCAGTGAATTCTTATCAGGCTTCTCTTATAGTTCATATCACAAAGTTCCCCAAAAGAATTTGCTAATGATTTAACAACGTTGTTGAAATTACCAGGTTACTTTTCAGTCTAGTTGGACTGGCAAACTTCCTATGAAGCATTTTAAATCCACATTATCACGTTCCATTCCAACAATGAAGTTTCCTAAAAAACTATTTAGCTTCTCTTTTGTTATCCTCTTTTTATGATATCCTGTTTTAACTTTGCTTCCAAAGTTAGAGTATATTTACCAGATATTCTGAGGAGGCAATTATGACTATGGAAAATTAGCTGATTAGCAGGTATCTAAGGTGAATTTTGATATTTTTTCTTCAGTTAGTACTGTGTCTGGATGGTTAAACAGATAAATGTTAACATTATTCATTTTTCCAAATGTTATAACTAAGTTTTTGACTTGAAAGCATATTGAAATAACATTATATATTTTTGTGGGCTGTAGAAGAGTATTTTTTGTACATGAGCAAAGGTAGTAACATAAAAATGACAAAACTCAGCTTTTCATGGAAAATGTATTGATTGGAAAACAATTTCATCACTTTCCACCAATACAAAACAGAAATATGGTGATTTTTTTGCAAATCTAAAAATTTCGTAGCCAAATCCTATGAATAAGTCAGCGACTATGAGTTCCAGGCTGGAACTTTGGGAAGGGCATCAACTCTGGTTGGCCACTTGGATATTATAAAAGTGGCCAGCATGTCCTAGAGTGGCTCATTCATATGTAGCATCTGGCTCGACATTTGCTTCATTATATTAGCATTCTTTCTTTTACAACGTGGTATTAATTTCCTGCTGCTACTTTCTATTTCAGCTTAGATGATTTTTGGAGTTGGGATATTTTATCTGCTTTCTTCCTTCTCTCCTCATAAACTCCCAACCCAGATGTCTAAGACTTTTTTTATTTGAATATAGAAAGGCTCATTTACTTTTTCTTTAAAAGGAGCTTTGGGGAAAAAAAGTACCAAAAATAAAAAGAAAATATAACCTTATACAAACTTATAAAATAAGTCTTTCATTTTAGATAACTACAAAAATCATCTTTACAAAGAAACAAACACTAAATGTTAGCCCAGATTCTAAGCAATAGAGTAACTCACTGTCCTGTCATAGTAGGTTAAAGATAGTTCTTCATTTAGTTTTTAACAATGCCTGGACAACAGACCTTTCCATGGAATCCAATCACTGCATGACTTGATAGGTTAGGGGGTCAGGGGTGCATCTCATCTCATCATGTTTGTAGTCTGAGAAAACAAGCCATAAAAGTTAGCTTGGTTAATTTTTTGTAACTGATACTATTAGTAGAAGGCAGAGTTTATCATGGGGAGGAGAGGAAAATCATGATAGATAGAAAACAAACATTAAACTCACACGGCACAGAAACAAGCAAAACCAAACATTGGTCATAACATCATGAAACAGCCCTGAGTAAGGATGAATTTACTTTGCTTTGTAAAAGGTCAAATCATCCTATTTATGATAGTATATCCTTTGCTAATTTTCTTTAAAATCTCACTCTAAAATCCTCCCAATATTTTTCATTTTAATTAGTAAGATTTAAGTGAAACATATTATTTGGATAGAAAAGCTATTGAAGTTTTAAATTATATTTGGCTTATGCTAAACATCATAAACTATGTGGAGGGCATACAATCTTTACTAATACCAAAACCGAATGTCTTATAACTTAGATTTGTTCTTAAGATTTTATTCTCATACTAACCACAGATATTTTACAGACCAAATAAGAACTTCATCTGTTTATTGTTATTTACCATAAAACTGGCTTTTGTCTAAAGTGCCTGAGTAATTGCAAAGAGTATTACAGGGAAAAAGACCTTAACCTACATGAACAATTGCCAAAAATTGTTCTTGTGTGCTTTGGCTATCTGAACAAAGAAAGATGCCTTGATTTTGAAATTTCATTAATCTTTTTCCTCAATAAAAATTTGCTATTATAGTGCTACCTAGAAGCAACAAGTGTTAAATTTCTATCTAAATGCCATTGATACAATTTTAATAACTATAGCCTTCCAGTGATGAAATATTTTTTTCTCCAGAATATCAAGATTTATTAGAGAATTAGAATCCAACTTCATAGCTTATTTTTTATATATATAATATACTTCTTATATTATATATAAGTACTTCTTATATATAATAGTACTTCTTAACTATTTCAGTACTTCTTAATTATTTAGCCATTCTACATTAGAGTTGTTTTAAGTATGAATTAAAGATTAGGATAGACACTCCCATAAATAATAGATGCTTCATATTTATATGTTGGGTTCAGTAAAATCTATCAGCTTCCATAATTTTCTTTGGCCCTGTGGACTTACATTAAAAATAATTACACATTATATAATATTAATCCTGGTGAATTTTAAAGCTGTGTAAACACAATTGAGTCCTTTTCAATTAAAATGAATCAGGTTCATTTTCTTCTGGCATAATTTATTTTAGGCTTTCAGATTCTGGACCTAAATCAATATAGGTAGAAATAGTAAACAGAAAAAAGAAAGGGATGTTGCACAAGAATCTATAAATTTAGCAAATTTAAATCTAGTGAGTTTTCCATAAGGGATATTAACATGAAGTTAATGTCAGTCTTCCTTGGGTTAATATAAAACCAAATTGATGTCAACAGTAGGCAGCCATGGTGGTCAATTAAGTGCCAGATAATAAGAGGTTGATTTAATTGCTTTTTATTGAGTACCATATGGATGTATGATTTTTGAATTCTCTGACATGGATACTTCACAATATTTTGCATTTTTATAGTTACCTTTGTAGGAATACTAATATAGTTCACCTCAAATTGTTAAACTTCCTCTAATACAAAATTGTTTTCAGAAGAAATTGCTTCATATATATGGATCTTGGTGTCAAATTCCCAAGATGAGCTCATTATAAATACAGCATTTCTGATTAATGTGCTCAATCAGTTTTAGATTTTTCCATGGTGATTTTTAAAGAAAGCTAACTAGTGTTACATTCTTCCAATAAATAACTCAAAGTATAATTTCCTAATATAAACCATCATCCCAAATGCATTCTGTTTCATGCTATCTGCCTTTTGCTGCCAAACGTGGATGCGTATTTTTTCTGATATATATGGATAATAAATTATAGTAGGGATAAGGAATGTACTCTCTATACTACATGTTTAGAGGTACACTTTATTCAAATTATGAAGTAGGTAAACTATTTATTTGCTCATTTGTTTAAAATAGTCCTAAAGAGACACTGTTTTACCTTCACCCACCTTTTCTCATGGCTAACCTACCCACACTTGTTTCCAATGTTCTTGGGACTCATAGATCTTCATTACTACTTTTGAAAGATTTTGCATGTGTGTGTGGTGAAATATGTATAATAACATAAAATTTACAATTTAGTGGCATTAAGTATACAGTAGTTTCCCCTTATCCTTAGGGGATACGTTCCAAGAACCTCAGTGTAAGCCAGAAACTTCAGATAGCACCAAACCCTAGATACTGTATGGTATGCACGAATTTATTTTTCCTTCCTCACAATTTCATAGATAGAAGATTCATTCTTACCATAGATCTTAGCAACATTAGCGTAGGATTTTTTTTTTCTTATTAAGTCAAGAACTTTCACCTTTTCACTTAAAGGGAGTGCTTCATAGCTTTTCTTTGGCACATCTGAATTTCCAACATCACTACTATTGTGCTTTGGGGACGTTATTAAGTAAAATAAGGGTTGCTTGAACATAAGCACTGCCATACTGTGACAGTGGATCTGATAACCTAGATAACTGCTAAATGACTCATGGACAGGTAGCATCTATAGCCTGGATATACTGGAAAAAGGGATGATTCATATCCCAGGCACGACGGAGTGGGAAGACACAAGCTTCATTAGGTCACTCAGAACGGTGCGCAATTTAAAACTTAGGCATTGTTTGTTTCTGGAATTTCTCATTTAGTATTTTTGGACTGATGTTGACAGGTAATTGAAACCATGGGCAATTAAAACTGCAGAAGGCAAAGCTGAAGATAGATGGGAACTAGAGTATTTACATGGTTGTTACCATCACCTCTATTTCTAAAACTTAGTGGTTACCTCAAAAAGAAACTCTGTACCCATTAAACAATGACCCTCACTTTCTTTCCCACAGACCTCAGTAACCTTTATCCTACTTTCTGTGTCTATGAGTTTATTTATTCTCGGTACCTCATTAAGTAGAATCACAATATTTGCCCTTTTGTGTGTGCTTATTTCACTTGCATAATGTTTCTAAGGTTCATCTGTATCATAGCATGTGTCAGATTTCATTTTTTTAAGGCTGATAATATTTTATTGTATGTTTATGCCACACTTAGTTTATGCACACATCTGTTGATGGACATTTGGTTTGTTTTCACCTTAGGCTATTGTGAATCATGCTGCTATGAACATTGGTGTAAAAGTTTCTGTATGAGTCCTTGCTTTCAGTTCTTTTGGGTATATTCCTAGGAGTGGAATTGCTAAATCTTTTTTTTTTCTTTTTTTTTGGTAATTCTATATTTGACTTTTTGAAGAATCACTAAACTGTTTTCCACAGCAGCTTCACTATTTTAAATTCCGCAATTCACCAGTAATGCACGAGGGTTCCAATTTCTCCACTTCCTCACCAACACTTTTGATTTTGGGTGTGAAGTGGTTTCTCATTGTGTGTGTGTGTGTTTTTTTTTTGTTTTTGTTTTTGAGACAGTCTCATGCTTTTTCCCAGGCTGGAGTGCAGTGGCATGATCTTGGCTCACTGCAACTTCCGCTTTCATGTTCAAGCAATTCTCCTGCTTCAGCCTCCTGAGTAGCTGGGATTACAGATGCCTGTCACCATGCCCAGCTACTTTTTTTGTGTGTTTTTAGTAGAGACAGGGTCACCATGTTGGTCAGGCTGGGCTCAAACTCCTGACCTCAAGTGATCCACCTGCCTCAGCCCCCCAAAGTGCTGGGATTACAGATGTGAGCCACTGTGCCCAGCCTCATTGTGGTTTTGATTTGCAATTCGTAATGACTGGTGATGTTGCCTATGAAGAATTTAAGTGTTTTCAACAAACTATAATAAACTTTCCAAGTTCCATACTGATATTCACCTGTTACAGCTTCACAAATCATTGAAAATAAAAACTTATTTCTTAAAACTTCCATCAGAGCAGAAAGGGCGTTACTATATGGGAGGCAACACAATGTGGCATAAAAAATATGATTTATAAATAAGCAGAAACTGTATTCAAAATCTGCTCCCTCACTAGTAAGCAGTAAGATTTTGGGCAAATTGCCCTAAATTGGGAAGCATTTACGGCTTATGGGATATTATGAGGCTTACACTGAGCTATGCATCTATATTTGTTCGCTACTGCATCTCCAGCACATATAATAGTGCCTGAGGTATAGTAGGTGCTTAATAAGTATTTGCTAAATTAATGAATAATGCTTATAATATTACTCAAATAATTATAGCTATTCTTATTACTAGATAAGCAGAGACATTAGCCCTTCTATTTAAACAAATTTAAATGGCAGATCTCAATTTGTACATTTTTAAATAATTTAAAATTATGAACATAAGCATAATATACTTGTGTTTACATATATTTACACATACTATCAAAATATATTTGCGATAAGTATATAGCTCATAAAAATTTGAAATTTACAGTACAATATTAAATTTCAAAACTTTTCACATAGACAAATTCTGAATAGCCAGAAAAACCCAAAAAAACAAAAAAAAACAACTGTATAGTTTACTTCAATTGGCCAGGTGCGGTGGCTCACAAAGTGCTGTAATTCCAGTACTTTGGGAAGCCGAGGCAGGCAGATCACTTGAAGTCAGGAGTTCTTGACCAGCCTGGCCAACATGGTGAAACCCCATTTTCACTAAAAATACAAAAAGTAGCCAGGCGTAGTGGCGGGCGCCTGTAATCCCAGCTACTCAGGAGGCTGAGGCAGAAGAATCACCTGAACCCGGGAGGCAGAGGTTGCAGTGAGCCAAAATGGCGTCACTGCACTCCAGCCTGGACAGCAGAGCGAGACTCTGTCTCAAAACAAAACAAAAAAACACCCCAACACTATACAGCTTACTTCCATTCATACTGCTTTGATTGTAAAATGATTTAGGATATTTCCTAAGTGGGAATTCAATTGTCCAGTAATCTAGGCAATGTATTCCCCAGTAAGAGTCACTATAAATGTTTTGGGCATTTCTAACTGAAAAAATTAGGGCATTACCATCTCAGTATGTGCTGTTTATTGAGTTGTTTAAATTTCTGCACATGTAATATGTGGAGACAAGCTAGATCCCTGTCTTTCCCCTTGATTTTTCAGGTATTTTTTAGCCGTCTGTTTGTGTTGTGCCTCTGCTTGATTTTTGCAATTCCTACTTGTTTAAAGCCTCTTAGAGAGCAAGCAGGATGTCTTTGCACGGTATCATGAAAAAAGAGGTAAACTGACCAGTATACTTCAGATAATTCAACTTCCTTGTGCTATTTTTTGTTTGTTTAAACAAGGTAAAACAGAAACACAGTTACACACTCATTTCTTTTTTAGACAGGTCAAACAATTAGCTGTCATGCAGTTATTTTACTCAGCCTTAGGAAAATCACCTTTAAAAGTCCCTGCTTAAACAACAACAAAAAATCTCTTGGTAGGTTCCCTGATGTGGAATTATTAGCAGAATAATCTTTCATCTCAAATTAGATGGATTCCAAATGGCACCTTTTAATGAAATGCTGATTTCTTCAAAGGGATGATCTCTTCTTGGGAAATTTTCACACTCACTGCCTGACAAGGGTTTTTATTTTTGTTCTAATTTTATTTGGAAAATTACCACTGTCAGCATGTTCTCCTCTCTGCCTCTCTAGATGGCAGCATTTGCCTTGTGGACTCTCTTCCCTTCTTTGCTTTTCTGGACCACCTTCTTCATGGAGGCGCTGCCCATAGGGAATAAAATGCTGACTGATGACTACCAGACTAACTAAATCAATGACTGCATGGCTTGTTGGTTAAAGTTGATGCTATTATTGTGTGGATCCTATTTATCTCTCTTCAGCAAAAAATTTGCACTTCACCAAAATCAATTAATGGAACTTAAAGATAAGGGAAGCAGTCCAACTGAGCAAATCCCAACTCTGAGAGCTTTACCCTCCCAGACCCCCATCACCAATATGTTCACATGGGGCACTGGGATTCTTCTATCTTAGAAAAATCTTACTGAGATTTTTACCAACCTGGCTGAAATCCCAAAGCTCAAGAAACATTAAAAAAAAAACAACTTTGTTTTCTAGCCAAAGTCATTTGTGAAAACCCATATCTACTTGATACCTGGAAATAGAAATAAAAAATCCCCACCTTTTGAGGTTTGCGCATCCCTAGATAGATTAGTGGCAGGAAATGTGGTTACAGAGTGTAGGATTTAGAAGGAGCTGAAATATGCTCCCATCAGGGCCACTTTCCACAGGCGTCTGACCTGAGCTGCTACACAAGACTCTGCACTCAGCTCTAGTGCTTGGTTTAATGCTCTGTTATAACTGTCTTGAAATTCTTAATAACTTTTGAATAAGAGGCTCCTATTTTTATTTAGCTCTGGGTCCCACAAATTAGCCATTCTTGCTACATTTTTACTAAGGGTAAGTATCTCAAATAGACAATACCAACATAAAGAATAACAGATCATTCCTTTTCAGTCAATGAAATGTGAAGTAGATCAAACGTATGATAATGTATGATAAGGTATAATAGAAAACACTTTTACAGGTTTCTTGAATATTTAAATTACAATTTTCCAAAATTAGCAGCAGAATTTTCTAAATTAATGGCAATTGAGAAAAAAATGATTTTTAAACTGATTTTTCAGCACATTTGCTACTGTGGTTCCAACTGGAATGCAGAAATCCAGTAGCACACATAAAAGAAGGAAGATGGAACTGAATGTATTTCATTTATGTTCTTCTGAATAAAGCATCTTGTAAACTGTTATTATGGCTGGAAAAATGCCGTAAGGATATGCTGCTACTGGAAAAACAGACAACAGACAATCAGTTTTTAACTGAGAGAGAGAGAGAGAGAGAGAGAGAGAGAGAGAGAGAGTGAAAGAGATGACATAAATCAGGATGCTGAGACTATTTTTTTCCATAAGCTTTTAAATAAAAAAACCCCACGAATTTATGGCTATGCTGGAAAAAATAAATTTCGTACTCATTTTCGTCTTGAAGTAGTAATGTAAGACAGAACATGTACTAACATTACCGCCTGAACAAAATAGTTGTCTAAACCATTTAAGAAACCTAAGGTTAGAGTTGCCAATTTAAATTTATGGCTGCATGAATTCAGCTTACTTCACTGACATCTAATTAAACATATCTTTTAATAGTGGTTGACTTTTTGGATGTTAAATAAGTAAAGAGCATGCGAGCAATCCAATAACCCCCATCAATCAAGGGAGAACGCAAAGAATGTCCAGCCTCCTGTTTATCCCATCACTACCTTCCTAGATGCTGGGGCGTAGTCAGAATGGTCCTAGAAAGTTCAGTGGTGATCTCTAGCACAAGAACTTCATGACAATCAGAAGAGAGGAAGGAAAGAATGAAGGCAGGACAGAAGAAAGGAGGGAAGGAAAGATGGAAGGAAGGAAAGGTAAAAGGAAATTTTCTGTATGTACATAAACTGTGGAATTAGGAGTAAGGAAGAATTAGATTTACAGTGTTATAGAAAAGGCTTTTAAATCTTACTCTTGATTTCTAGAGCTGCACATGGTCTCCTTCAAACTTGCAGACTATGTGTTTAAATATAGTGGGAAGTTCCATACATAGAAAGATTGCTAAGTGTGGGGGGCTGGGGAGGTTTAAGACTCACACAGTCCTCCTCTGGTCTTAAACCTAGAGACAAACCACAGTCCCCTGAGTCAGAGGCAAGAGTACAATCTTCTCATTTTATATTATTGCATGTCTTTGGCTCTGTCTTCAAAGGTAAAGTTTTCATTCAGCAAGTCAGTGATAAACCCTGAACATATATCTAAAAATAGAAGCAAAATTAGTGCTTTCTCACATATGGTAAGGTCATACGTGATTTACTCATTGAAAAAAAATATTATATCCCAATGCTTTTAAATGCTTTCAAAATATGCCACAACTATAAAATTAGGAGTTTGTGAAGAAAATGCCAAAGGAAGAAGATAATATTTTATGCTAATAAAACAACCAAAAAGATACTTTCCTAAGAGTCTTTCCTGACTGCATGGTTTGGATAGAGGTAAGACAGTGGTATGAGTCACTGTCAGTATCGGAATAACTCAAAGAGATAAACAAAAGTTATCTAAACAAACAAGTTATAATTCCATTCCATGAAGACATTTTTAGGAACATTCACTTTTTTTTCCCAAGTTGATAGAACATCAAGCAATACATAAACACTGAAATAAATTGCATATTCTAGATATATGTGAAAAGGAAAGGCATCTTAGTGTAACTGAGCACATATGCATCACACATAGTTTCCTTCTGAGCTGTAACACTGTTCCCCCCCTCCCAGTTGGGAAGATACATCTGTGTCTCCTCCCTCATTTGATATGATCCAGTAAAATCCCAGCTTTGGAAACACTTGCCTGGAACATCAACGATTACTTCATTTATCAGCACATATATTTAACTCCGGTCCTTGCTGGGCAGGTCTTAGCTATGAGGTAACTCAACCTATGGCATCACTGCTCTGTGTACCTTTTCACCAGGGGACTCTGTAACCTGCCTCTCCAACACTGTCAAGACTGATGTCAGCTGTTTCCCAGTTCCACACGGTGGACAAATGAACACTATTTGAAGAAAAACAGAAATGCCTGTGGAAGGTTTGCAGTATTTATGGATGTTACAATTGTGAACACTAGGCTTCAAACTGAAAGTTAAGTTACAAAACATGATGCTGCGAAAACTCTACTGGAACTAGGAAGCTATCTCTCTGCCAGATTTTCTCTATGGACTCCTCCTCCTCCCCTCCCCTCCTGAAGTTTCTTTTCCTTAGGTACTTGTCTTTCATTTTGAAAAGGTTTTACACATTAATGGCACTTTCTCTTTAATAGACTATAGCACGTTCGTAATAGTATTTTTTAAATTCTTATTTTAGTCATTACATTCACCAGCCTTGCCAACAGGGTGTGAGCACAAGTTACCTGAGAATAGATTTTCTTGTTCTAAGATACTGTTTTTTTGGTTGGTGTGGGGGAAAATGAAGGTGTTTGCTTGTTTTGCTGAATTAACTAGAAAGGACTAAATTAACAGGCTACCTTGACACATAAAAAGCTTCCTATGTAACAATGCTATTGAGCATATGTATTTAATTGCATTTCACATATCATGTTTTAGACTTCCTGCAGGGCCAGCTCTGTGGGCATGACACACATGTAATACCACAGAATTCTATCCTCAGTGGAGCCTCATGTTGCCCTGGGCCCCACATATTATGTAGCTGGTCTTGACTTCCAGTAATAATTTCTTACAGATTCTAGGCCTTTAGGTACATTGTGACTGCTAGAGAAGGCTGGTTTATATCCATGAGAACACAGTGGGTATTCAATAAACTGTTGATTTAGACAGAGCCCTGGTTGTGAAAGAAGAATATAAGTATCAGATGGTTGTATAAGATTGTTAAAGAATAATCACATAAAGTTTTCCATTGACATTCATTGTGAAAACAAAGATTTGTTCTTATGCTCCATTCTGTCAGTGGACAGAGTTGATGTTTTTTGTTGACAAGAGTTGTTTCAATTAAGGAGCTTGCCTTATTCTTCATGGAAACTCTAGGCAAGGCAGAAAAATCACTGAGGAAAGAACAAAGGGTCTAGTTGACAGGGTGCTGTGACCCCCAGCTAGAATGTCTCAGTACTTAAATAGAAAGTTGCTAATGTAGGGATTATGGAAAAGTAGAACTTGCTGTATGTTGTAAAGTGTTGCTGATGCTCGCCAAACTTCTCCAGAAGGCCCTTGAGCAGATGGGAAAGCTGGGTGGGCATTGGCTGGAGCCATGGTGTTTCATCATGCAGTTGGTGTGGACTAGCTGTTTGCTCTTTGATAAAGTATGGTATTATTTAAAACAAAAAAAAAGGGTAGGCTTTTCAAGGAAGTTAAGAGGATGTGTTTACATAATTAAAATTATGACTTCCTCCTTCTGTTTGGAAAAGTTATGTTTATTATAATAATTTGCTAGTCTGTGATCTTGGTCTAAAATTCTTCAACATATAGCTTCTGGACTCCTACAATTAACTTTCTGTGATATCTTCCAAATTACTGGGTGCTTTCATGGCCTGTGGTCCTATGAGTGAAGATTATAAAGTCTTTTAGAACAACAGAGATCATGTTTAAGCCCTGGTCATGGGCACAGTGATGGACTTAATCTCTGACTACAATGAAGCCAGGCATTTTGATATTTCATTGTCGTAGCAGGAGTGTTTGGCTTTGTTTTCTGCAGACTGGCACTGTGCCATTACTTTATATCCTCCTGAAATAGCACATCTTATACCTGTGCCTCCTTCCACTGCTCTTGCGTTAATTCAAGGCTGAGAAGAAGTGGCCCCGTGCCAGCTCTAATTAAGCAATAAGACACTCCAGGCAGTACATTTCTGGGGATTACTGCATGCCTGCCTTAAGTGCATCACTACTCAAGAAGGGCAATCATCCTTTAGAAAATGCATTCTCTGAAGTGACTTATTGCCATTTGGAAGGGGAACTTTTATAAACTAGAAAGAAGAAAGAGAGGAGGATATGTATTTCCCATGCACTGGATGGTATTCTCTGTGTGTGGCTTTCTTATTTCTTTGGAAGAGGGAAGCAATATTCACTCTAGAACAACACAGTCAGCATTAGACACTCTATTCAGGGTCAATCTGACCACGAACACATATTTGTTCTATTATTTTTTCACTGTTGAGCTGTATACCCAATGGATATAACTTTAAATCTGAGGTGTTTTTTTCCTGTAGTATGTGTTTCCTCACCAGATAAACATTAAGATAACAGTAAAATTCTCTTGTTGCTTTAAGTTTAAAAAAGAGTTACAAAATGAATCCCGATGAGCTTAAGACAGTCACTTACTTTGTTTTCTTGTGTCTAAGAGGCACACAGTATAGAGTATGGCTTATGAAGCCAATCTCTCAAGCCAGACTGCCAGGTTTGAATGCTAACCCTGACACTTTTTATCTGTATGACCCTGAGAAAGTTATTTTAATTCTCTGTTCCTCATTTTTCTTATCTGTAAATATATTTAATAAGTATACTTATTATAGAGGGTTGTTTTATGGATTAAATGCGGTGACATATATAAAGTACTTAATTTTGTCTGGTACATAGCAAAGCAAAAATATATGTTCATTTTGGGAATAATAATTATTATATTTTAATTTATCAGTAATCCTGAAAGGATGATTAGCAGAGAATTAGAATTACTCTAATTTACTTTTAACTGAATAAACTGGAAAAATTGATATCTCTAGGTTTTATTCTCTATATCTATAAAATGACCAGTACCCTAGGCATGCTCTGGTGGCCTCCAGTGATCCCTGGCTCTTGGTTTTCACACCCTGTGTAATGTTTTCCCCCTGGATGAGGGCTACACGGAGATGTTACATCTGAGATTAGGTTGTAAAAGATGGTGGCTTCTGTCTTAAAGCCCTTTTTAGCTCTCTTTGTCTGTCTCAGCTCACCAGCTACAAAGTCACAAGGACACTCAGAAAACGTGTACAGTGGGCATGCAGTAAGAACCTAGACCAGCCAGTAATGACACAAGTGAACCTGAAAGCAGACCCCCAGCCCTGGAAAGCCTTGAGATGAGTGCAGAGTTAGCCGACAGTCTGACCAGAGTCCCGTGAGAGATGTGACAAGAGATGTAGAAACAGGGGCACCAGCTAAGCTGTACCCAGATTTAACAGCAAAGGGACTGAGATAACAAACACTTTTGTCATTAGGCACTAAGTTTGGGGGTAATTTGTTATGCAGCAAAAGGTAACATACAGTCGATAATATGTGGAAGATGGCGGAAAACACAAAATGCTTGCCAAATTGAGGCATTGATATTGTTAACACTATCTTCAAGAAACTAATAGGAACAAAAGATGATTAAACTTTAATATTATTACCTTTATTATTTGCTTCATTTGTATTTGTATCATTCGCTCATTTTTTAAAAAAACTAGAAATCACCTCCTATGTGGCAGGCACCATTACAGGGCTGGCAATTTAGCAGCAGACAAAATAGACATCTTCTGAAGCTTGCATGTTCATAAATTTCTTAAGATATAATATATTAGATATTGCTAAGTACTCATGATCAAAATTAAACAAGGAAGGAGGATAGAGAGTGCTTGCATTTCAAAAACAGTTTTTAAACCTTGGCTAAGAAAACTTCATGAGAAGATAATATATAGGTCAAAAATCTAAAAACACAGAAGCAGTCCATGAGGGTATTGACAAAAGAACGTTCCAAGCAGAACATATAAATATACTATGATAAAAATAAAAAATAGACAAGCAAAGTCAAAGTGCTAAGGCACTGATGTCAAAGCTTTCCTGGTCCTTTAGGAGCAATTAGAGATGATAAGGGGTACAGGGAAGGAGTCAGTGCAGTTTTCTGTAGGCCATTTAAGAATGTAGGCTTTAACACTTGAATGAGATGGGAAATCACAGAGTAATCCAAGTAGGCAGTGGCATGATTTGATTCCAGTTTTAGAAGATCTTAGGCTGTTCTTGAAAGTATAGAATAGGCGTGGGCGTGGAAGGTGGAGAGGCAATATAGTAGTGGAGACCAGATACTAGTTAGTTTAAGTAAAATAGTAAAATATGACTTAACTGTGGTAATTGAAAAAAAGATAATATTCCTTTCATTTCTAAATATTATATTAACCTTGTTAAATTTTCATGGGAAAGGCAACACAAGCATTAAAATAGAAGTAAAACATGTTATTTTATTCATGACATTTGATAAGACCTAGCCTTAAGACTAAAATTACAAATGTACATCTAAATCCAAAATGATTCAGCTACATATATATAATATATAAAATTACATGTATATATATATATACATGCATAGCTGCAGAAAGTGTGTGTATATATGTGAATATGTGTACATATAAACACATGAGAGAGAGCATGAGCATGTAAATATGACAATGTTGGCAACTAGTAAAACCAAATGAAGATGTTGTATGGCTGTTTATTTACTATTTTTGTCAATTTTCTGTAGGTTTGACATTGTTAAAAATAAAATGATAGGAGAAAACATGCATCACAATTGTGTATTCCAAATTGGTTTTGTACTTAACATATAAGTATACTATGATAAAAATAAAAAATAAACGGGACTATGACCTTAAGATTACCACTCAAGTATTTAGACACTAATTATGACTAATTTTAAACACTATAAAGTTATATCAAATCACTGATGCTTGAGGCTTTGGCCATTTTCTGGATGATTATAACTTAACACTGATGAATCCTTGCAGGAAACCTCATTTAAATGCTAAAATAATTAACTTCAGAGCACTTGCTAAAGGGAAGTTGGTAGATTTAACTTAGCAGAGTATGGTAGCTGCAGAGTAGTTGACTCACTTGCCTAATATATGCACTGCTTAGAAAAGTGATTCCATACATATGTGTTACATAAGATATGCCAATTGTCCCAGAAACACATAGTCAACTATACAATTGATGTGGACAATAATGCTTTCAAAGTTTTATGCATGAAATTGTTATTGATCTGCTACCATTAGTTGTATAGTTCAATCTATACTTGCCTTGGTCTATCAAGTGTGGAGCGGCTCTGCACCCCCTTTCTACCCCATACCACCATTGCCAGTGGCACGGACTGTGAATGAAGGCCATCAGCCCTGCGCCTGCATGCACCCGGCCCCTGGTGTTGACATTGCCAGCAGCCCTGCCCCTTGCCCTACCCCCAGCCCTGTGCTGCCACAGCTGCTGCTGCAAACACCATCATGGAAGCCAGCATTTCCACGCCTGCCAGTGTCCCAACCCGGTTGATGAGCATGTACCCTGCTATGTGCTGCTGCCACTTTCACGTGTGAACAAGCATGGATCCTGCTGCTACCACCCAACAAAGTGCTTTGACTGGCACCGCTTATCAAAATATTGTAGACTACGGTCTTGGAACCGCTTGTTCCCTCCAGCACAGCAGAATCCTAACATCAAGGGGCCAGAGAACAAAGCTGGGAGCCCATTAATAGCCTCCCAGAGTCAGAGCATGCAGCCCAGGAATGCTGAGCTGAGCTTTGGCCCCCTGAACTCTTCCAGAAACAAAGCTAGTTTACTGAACCCTTATAGTACAATCAAACCCCCCAAGGACATCAAAGAAGATGAAAGAAAAAACACATCTAAAGGACAGCAAGCTCAAAGACTAAATGAAGATCAGCCCACAAAGATGAGAGAGAACCAGTGCAAGAACTCTGGCAGCTCAAAAATCCAGAGAGACTTCTATTTGTTTATTTATTTAAATAGAGATGACATCTCACTATGTTGCCCAGGCTAGTCTCAGACTACTGAGCTCAAGTGATCCTCCTGCCTCAGCCTCCCAAAGTGCCAGGATTATAGGTGTCAACTACTATACACAGCCCAGAGTGACTTCTTCTGCAATGGTTCCTAACCACGATGAAATGGCTGAAATGACAGAAACAGAATTATGATTATGGGTAAGAATGAAGATCATTGAGATTCAGGAGAGAGTTGAAATCCAATCTAAGGATTCAAAGAAATAAAATGCTACAGGAGATGAAATATGGAATGACCATTTTAAGAAGGAAAAAACTGATCTAATAAAGCTGAAAACTTAATTCAAGAATTTCAGCATACAATTCCAAATGTTAACAGCAAAATCAACCAAGCTGTGGAATCTCAGAACTTGAAGACTGGTTATCTGAAATAAGTCAGATGAAAATAAAGAAAAAGAAGAATAAACAAAACCTCTGAGAAATATGGGATTATGTAAAGGGATCAAATCTATGACACATTGGGATCCCTGAAAGAGAGGCAGAGGAAGTGAGAAGGTTGGAAAATTTATTTCAGAATATCACCCATGAAAACTTTCCCAACTGTGCTAGAGAAGGCAACATTCAAATTCAGGAAATGCAGAGAAGCCCTGTGAAATACTATACAAGAAGACCATCCTGAAGACACACAGTCCTCAGATTCTCCAAGATTAAAATGAAAGAGAAAAATGAAAAAGGCAGCTATAGAGAAAGGGTAGGTCGCCTACAGAGGGTACACCATCAAGCTAACAGTGGACCTTTTAGCAAAAACCTTACAAGCCAGAAGAAATTGGGGGCTTATATACAGTATTCTTAAAGAAATGAATTAATAACCAAGAATTTTATATGCAGACAAACCAAGCTTCATAAGTGCAGGAGAAATAATATCCTTTCCAGGATATTATGAATCCTAAGGGAATTCATGACAACCAGACCTGTCTTAGAAGATTTCCTGAAGGGAATTCCAAATATGAAAGGAAAGGCTGTTATCAGATACTATAAAAACACACTTAAGTACATAGAGCAGTGGCACTATAAAGAAACCACACAAATAAGTCTGCATAATAATCAGCTAATAACACAATGACAGGATCAAATTTGCACATATCAATACTAACCTTGAGTGTAAATGGGTTAAATGCCTCAATCAAAAGGCACAGAGTGGCAAGTTGGATAAAGAAGCAAGACCCACTTGTATGTTGTCTTCAAGAGTCCCATCTCACATGCAATGACAACCATAGGCTCAAAGTAAAGGGATGAAGAAAAATCTACCAAGCAAACAGAAATCAGAAAAAATTAGAGATTTCTAATCTAATTTTAAACAAAACAGACTTTAACAAAAATCAAAAAAGGTAAAGAAGGGCATCACATAATGGTAAAGGGTTCAATTCAGCAAGAAGACCTAAGTATTCTAGATATATATGCACCCAACACAGAAGCACCCAGATTCATAAAGCAAGTTCTTAGAGACAAAGAGACTTAGATAACCACACAATAGTAGTGAGAGACTTCAACACCCCACTAACTGTATTAGACAGATCATCAAGGCAGAAAACTAACAAAGATATTCAGGACCTGAATACAACAATTGACCAAATGGACCTAATAGACATCTACAGAACTCTCCACCCCAAAACAACAGAATATACATTCTTCTTATGTGCAGTGGCATGTGTTCTAAAATCAACCATACAATCAGATATAAAACAACCCTCAGCAAAGTAAAAAAAAATCCTGAAATCATACCAACCACATTCTCAGACCACAGTGCAATAAAAATAGAAATCAATAGTAAGAAAATTGCTCAAAACCATATAATTACTGGAAATTAAAAATTGTTCCTGAAAGACTTTTGGATAAATAATAAACTTAAGGCAGAAATAAAGAAATGCTTTAAAACTAATGAGAAAGAAGATACAATATGCCAGAATCTCTAGACACAGTTAAAGCAGTATTAAGAGGGAAGTTTATAGCACTAAACATCAACATTAAAAAGTTAGAAATATCTCAAATTAACAACCTATCATCAGAGCTAGAGAAGCTAGTGAACTAAGAGCAGACTGATCCCAAAGCTAGCAGAAGACAAGAAATAACCAAAATCAGAGCTGACCTGAAGGAAATTGTGACACAGAATACCATACAAAAGATCAACAAATCCAGGAGCTGGTTCTTTGAAAGAATTAATAAGATCACCAGCTAGGCTAATAAAGAGAGAAGGTCCAAATAACAACAATCAGAAATGACAAAGGGGACATTACTACTCAACCTACAGAAATAAAAAAAAAAAAAACCTTTAGAGACTATGAAACCTCTATGCACACAAACTAGAAAACCTAAAAGAAATGAATAAATTCCTGGGAACTGTAACATCCCAAGATTGAACCAAGAAGAAATTGTATCCTTGAACAGACCAATAACAAGTTCTGAAATTGGTAGAATTTTTATTACTGGTTCAATCAGAAAAAGCCCAGGACCAGACAAACTCACAGCTGAATTCTATCCAATGTATAAGAAAGAGCTGGTACCATTTCTACGAAATTATTCCAAACAATTGAGAAGAGGGGTCTCCTTTTTAACTCATTGTATGAGGCCAGCATCATCCTGATACCAAAACCTGGCATAGATACAACAAAAGAAGAAAACTTCTGGCCAATATTCTTGATGAACATAGATGCAAAATTCCTCAACGAAATACTAGCAAACCAAATCCAGCAGCACATCAAATAACTAATCCACCACAATCAAGTAGGCTTTATCCCTGGGATGCAAGGTTGGTTTAATATATGCAAGTCAGTAAATGTGATGCATCACATAATTAGAACTAAAAACAAAAACCACATGATTGCCTCAATATATGCCAAAAAAAGAGGTTTTCCGTAAAATTCAACATCCCTTCATGTTAAAAAGCCTCAACAAAATAGGCACTGAAGGAACATACTTCAAAATAGTAATATACATCTATGAAAAACCCACGGCCGATATCATATTGAATGGGCAAAAGCTGGAAGCATTTTCCTTGAACAACTGGAACAAGGCAAGGATGCTCCCTCCCACCACTTCTATTCAACATAGCACTGGAAGTCCTGGCCAGAACAATCAGGTAAGAGAAAGAAATAAAGGGCATCCAAATAGGAAGAGAAGAAGTCAAATTACCCTGTTTGTAGATGTTATAATTCTATACCTAGAAAGTCTTATAGTCTTTGCCCAAAGCCTCCAAGACCTGATACACAACTTCAGCAAAGTTTCAGGAGATAAAATCAATATACAAAATTAGTAGCACCTTATACACCAGCAACACTCAAGCTGAGAGCCAAATCAAGGGTCAAATCACATTCAAAATAGCCATGGAAAGAATAAAATACCTAGAAATACAGCTAACCAGTGAGGTGAAAGATCTCTACAGTAAGAATTACAAAACATTGCTCAAATAAATCAGTGATGACATGCACAAATGGAAAAACATTCCATGCTCATGGATAGGAAGAAACAACATTGTTAAAATGGTCATACTGTCCAAAGCAATTAAAGAGTCAATACTATTCCTATCAAACTACAAATGACATTCTTCACAGAATTAGGAAAAACTACTGTCCAAAGCAATTAAAGAGTCAATACTATTCCTATCAAACTACAAATGACATTCTTCACAGAATTAGGAAAAACTATTTAAAAATTCATATGGAACCAAAAAAGAGTCCGAATAGTCAAAGCAATCCTAAGCAAAAGGAACAAAGCTAGAGGCATCACATTAGCTGACTTCAAACTATTCTATAAGGCTACAGTAACCAAAAGAGCAAGTTACTGGTACAAAAACATAGACCAATAGAACAGGATAGAGAATCCAGAAAGAAAGTTGCACATCTACCATCATTTGATATTTGAGAAAGTCAACAAAACCAAGCAATGGGGAAAGGACTCCCTATTCAATAAATAGTGCTAGGATAACTGGCTAGCCATATGCAGAAGGTTGAGACTGGACCCCTTCCTTATACTATAAATAAAAAACAGAAACTATAAAACCCTTGTTGATAACCTAGGGAATGCCACTCAGGACATAGGACCTGGCAAAGATTTTGTGATGAAGATGCCAAAAACAATAATAACAGAAACAAAAATTGACAAATGGGACCTCATTTGCACAACAAATGAAACTATCAACAGAGTAAACAGAGCACTTACCAAATGGGAGAAAATATTCACAAACTATGCATCCAACAAAGGCCTAATATCCAGAATCTATAGGGAGCTTAAACAAATCAACAACCAAAAATTAACCCCATTAAAAAGTGGGAAAAGGATATGAGCAGACATTTTTCAAAGGAAGACATACATATGGCCAACAAGCCTATGAAGAAATGCTCAATATTACTGATCATTAGAGAAATGCAAATCAAAGCCACAATGAGATACCATCTCACATAAGTCAGAATGGCTATTATTACAAAGTCAAAAAATAACAGATGCTGGTGATGCTGCAGAAAAAAAGAATGGTTATACACCACTGGGGGGAATGTGAATTAATTCAGCCATTGTGCAAAGCAGTTTAGCAATTTCTCAAAGAACTCAAAGCAGCAGTACAATTCAACCCAGTGATCCTATTACTGGGTATATACCCAAAGGAATATAAGTCATGCTAACATAAAGACACATGCATGCATATGTTCATTGCAGCACTATTCACAATAGCACAGACATGGAATCAACCTAAATGCCCATCAGTGGTAGATTGGATAAAGAAAATGTGATACAAATACACCATGGAATACTATGCAGCCATAATAAAGAATGAGATCATGTCTTTTGCAGTAAGGTGGAGGGAAGTGGAGGCCATTATCCTAAGTGAACTAACATAGGAACAGAAAACCAAATACCACATATTCACACTTAGGGAGCTAAACATTGAGTACATATGGACACAAAGAAGGTAACAACATTGAGTACATTTGGACACAAAGAAGGTAACAACAGGCCCAGACATCAGGGTCTACCTGAGGGTGGAGAGAGCAAGAAGGGTGACGATTAAAGAAGTACTTATTGAGTACTATGCTTAGTACTTGGGTGACAAAATCTGTTCACCAAACCCCTGTGACACACAAATTACCTATATAACAAACCTGCACATGTACCCCTGAACCTAAAGTAAAAAAAAAGTTGCTGACACATTTGTAAAAAATTGTTTTTTTTTTCAGTTTCACTTTAAAATAGTCAAAGCAAGTAAAATAAATGGAAAACAAAGGGACAAAACCATAAAAGTAGTTACTTTAGGTTGCACAAAAGAAAAAAAATCCAAACAAATTAAAAAAACATGTTTTTCTAAAACTGAAAAGTTGCAGGAAGAACACTTTTGTTATTTTGTAGTACTGTATTTGTCTTATGGGACTTCTACCCACCCTCCAAAAAATCATGTCACATTTGTAGAGTATATTCGTTGTGAAAATAATTTTGGATTTAATTACCAAAATATTTTTGGAAATGACATGTCTGAATAATAAAACAATTCTCTAAAGTCTCTCCATGTTGTTCTATTTAAAAGATAGGTATGAATCATTTTATATGTATGTATACATTTAATGCATTTTTAAAAGTTCATGTATTAAGTAGCTGCACATCTAACGATTTCAAGGGATAGCAATGCACTCTCCATCTAAATCCCCTCTACCCACCCCAGCATGTTCTCTATGCTCTGCAATAATACTACACAGTCGGTTTGTTTGCTTTTGTTTCTGATGCTGGGTAATTTTTTTAAATCACCACCAGTATTCCTGTTTTACACCAGAGAGCCATGGAGAAAAGAAATACATCTCTGTCAAAAGACCTAATTCTTGTATAAAGAATTAGGACACATTAAGTTTTCTTTCATTAGTTATCACGTATGGGAATCTGCTTGCTGGTGATAAGCTGTTAAGTAGGGTGGGAGAAATAAGTGAGTGGGGACAATTTGGAACAACAAGGCCTTCATATTAGAAGAAATGTTAGTTATCGATCCAGGAGTTCCCAGATATAGGGTTTTCATGAAACAGTATACATATATGTATTTTATTGGAGAGGGTCCCTCATCTGCTTAGCCATTTTTTTTCTGTTGGTCAAGTAGGATTTTAATGAAGATTTGGGGGAAAAAACCCTTTATCTAGCATTTTTATAATTTCATAAAAGTTATAATTTTAACATGAAAAAGAAAAAGACAATCCTAGACTGGTCCAATAGAAGTATAATCTCCTAAGAGAGAAATCCAAGGTTATAATTTTTAAAAACATTTTCATGGGTACATAGTAGGTATATATATTTATGGGTTACATGAGTTATTTTGATATAGGCATGCAATGCATAATAATCATATTTGATATGTCTTTGATTTTGGTAGCAGAGTAATCCTGGCCTTTTAGAATGAGTTTGGAAGTATTCCCTCCTCTTCTACATTTTGTAATAGTTTGAATAGGATTGGCATTATTTCTTCTTTAAATGTTGGTAGAATTTAGCAGCGAAGCTATTGAGTCTCAGGCTTTTCTTTACTTGGAGACTTTCTAATATCGCTTTGTTATTGGTCTGTTTAGACTTCAGATTTCTTCTGGTTCAATCTGGGTAGGTTGTGTGTGTCTAGGAATTTGTCCATTTTCTCTGGATTTTCCAATTTATTGGCATACAGTTGCTCACAGTAGCCACGAATGATCCTTTGGATTTTTGTAATATCAGTTGCAATGTCTCCTTTTTCATCTCTGATTTTACTTATTTGGGATATCTCTCTTCTTTTCTTAGTCTGGCTACAGGTTTGTCAATTTTATCTTTTTTAAAAAACAACTTTGCATCCTAATATTTTGTATTTTCTTCATTTCAGTTACATTGATTTCTGCTCTGATCTTTATTTCTTTTTTTTCCTACTAATTTTGGGTTTAGTTTGCTTTTGCTTTTCTAATTCATTAAGATGCATTATTAGGTTATTTTAAAAAATGTTTTTCTTTTTTTGATGTATGTACTGATACCTATAAATTTCACTTTTCATGCTGCAAATTGAAGTGTGTTTTTCTTCATATTTATTGTGAGAAGAATATTACACTGTAGGCAGTGGAAAAATAAAGAATTGTTTGGCATGTTTCTTTAGCATGGCTACCTCAACTTTATAACTGTAATGTTGACATTCAGGATTGTGAATTTTACTTCCAAATATAGTCAACGATCCTCTTCTTAGAGGTGTCTGATACTGACATCTTTTGTTACTTATTCTTCACATGAAGGATTTGATTTTAATGTGTTAATGAATTCAAAGGGCTAATCACAAGAAAATATTCTTGGGTCCTTTTACCTATCATTTTCCACTAACAAAGAATGCCAGAAATCCAATATTTAAAGATAAGAGCTAAAATTTTGAGATGTAATGTAATCATCTCAAACATTGTCTGTGAAATCTTTATAATTAGCATAACCTTTGGAGAATGTCATTGGATATTGATGAAACAGGGCATGAACTCTGTGTTGCCATTTAGCAGGGCTTGCAAAACTACCCAGAATGACGCCTGGGAATTTTAAACTACCAGATAGTTCTTATCTAAGAAACTGAGTGAGAAAGGCGTTTGTCGTCTCTAATGACTTCTGTTAGCAGATTTATGCCACTTGGATCAATATATCTCCACCTTCCCACCCCCTAAGCTCTACTTTTTAGGTTAAAAAAGAAAGGGAGGGAAGGAAGACTCCCAATTTCAATTTTTATAATGGAATAAAACTACATATAACTTTCTAGAAACCACTATAGTTCATGTTCCTTGTTATAATATTTTTAAGCGTGCTTAGAGATACAAAGAAGTAAACACAGAAAAGTATTTTTGTTTTCTTTACAGGACTAATCACACATTTTAAGAAAACAAATAGAATTAAATTGAAATAGGCCAAAGGATGAGATACTTTATTAAAAACATTTCAATCAGAAGTCACTTCTTCATAAACAGTTTTTCTAAATGGTCATTGTTTCAGTGATTATAAGACCATTACCCTTTCTCTAACATCACTCGTGACTAAAGATCAATTAAAAGAATAAATATCTCTTTTATAAAGATAAATATTGTTGGGGAAAGGATAATTTTTAAAAGGTGTGCTACAGTTTTCGGGGTGAAAAATTGCCTATTGTAACCTAAGGTTTGCTCTTTGATTAAAAGTATTTCTAAAACAAATAACCTGCATGTGTATATGTGTGTGTAACTAATACAATTAATCTTCATGCTAGATTAACTTGATAAAATATTGACCTAATTTGGGATTAAAAGATTACAAGTAACATTTTGCGCTGAACGCTGCAACATGCCTCATGTCAACACAGTAATGACAGAATTAACCTCCCAAGCCCTCTTCAACTGGGGCATTTCTGAGCTGCTACTTGAGCAGGGTTTGGATGACCTTCAATGACTAGTGCACAAAAGACCCAATGATGCCGTTTTCTCAGCCAGCTGAGCTGCCTCTGTGGTTCAGAACCGTGCAAAGGAAAAACATATTTAAAAGACTTTCTAAAAATATCCAGCTTCTGCTTGTCAAATATTTTAACTTACTAGTAACAGAAGTTGTCTGGGAATACTTAAAACATTCTTATACAAGTACAAAATGTGATTTATAAACACTGTATAGTTACTTGCAAGCGTCACACATTTTGCTATTAAAAGTAAAAATTGAAGCTAGAAAAAAACTTACCCGAATGTTTAATTCTCTTTCTGTGATTTTGGTTATACTTTTCTGACAATTAATAAGGAATTCTTACTGACTGGTTAGTGTGGATAAGAGCTAATGGTGTCTGACTCATTTTTCTTATTGGGCTAACTGTATAATACATAAAATTCCAATCTACCATTAACTCTCAATTACCCTTTGGAATTGGAGATGAGGTTGCATAACCAATAAAATACATAGATAATTGAAAGATTTTTAAAAACACAAACTTTTGAGAGAAAAACAAAAGCAGCCTTAGTGTAAATTTTAATGATTGACTAGAAATGACAAAACTGTCTAATGAGCATTGCATTCTTGAATGGACCATACCTTTCTTCAGTGGATTCCTGATTATCTGGATCCTGAATTTTCTTATCTGTATGAGTACACCAAAGATTTACATGGAAGGGGAATAGGAAGAAAAAAATGATTCTATCAGTTGATACATTCTATCAGCATATAAATTAGTAAAAAATTTATATATTGAAATATGTGAAAGAAGACTAACTCAGACTGGGCTAATGTTGCAGAGAGGAATGCTAATGATGTTCACAATGGGCTTTGGAGGATTATAGGCCAAGTCTTCATGATTTCAAATATGAGCCAATTTCTAATCTTTCTACCAGCAGAGCTTCCTTCTTTTGGGTATTGAAGGCTTTTGGAAAGTCAAGAGGCATCTCTTAGAAAGCAAACATATTTGGCTTTTCTAAGATCTGCCATAATGTTTGTTTTACTGTACAATTATAGCTACAGTACTTAGTTCAGGAGATGGCAGTTAGCTGGGTCATACTAAAGGTACATTGAGGCCAAGATCTATCTATCTATCTATCTATCTATCTATCTATCTATCTATCTATCTATCTATCTGAATTATTCATCTCCATCTTCATTTGAGAAACATATATTGAGCTCCTTTTATGTGCTGTACTCTGTGTTGTGTGTTGGGGCTACAAGGAGAAAAAATATTTCTGGACATTGAAGGCTCTAGAAAAAAATGTTCTTTTTTTCTACTAAAAAGATTAACAGGTGTTAGATAAGTTTTAAAAACATATTAGGAAATTTTAAAAATTAATTTACATGATTTAACAGAGTTAAAAGGAGAATAACTATGCCTTCATGTGATTCAAAGAGTACTGTATATTTTACCTCAGCAATTTATTTTTGACCTGCTGAAAGGCAAGATAATTGGGTCTTTTTATATTAAAAAAAATCTGAAGTACAGGCTGTCAAGTCACATTCAATGGATTGGGTGAATGGAATCTCTAATAAAATAACAGTTTCTCCTTTTTTTTTTTTTTCTGTTCATCTAAAATCCCTCCTAGAAGTTCTGGGGAACCAAGGAATTGCATTCTAGCACAACTCCTTTTAAATTTTGTAGGACAAAAAATACTCAATAATGTTTCTTAGTAGATCCATGGGTTATAGCTTTTCTATAATTTTTCATTTTCTTCCTGTTCTCTTTTTACTTATTTTTCCTGATAGTTCCCATTTTATTTGATTAGAGATCCAGCAGAAGGTAATGGATAGCATGAATATTTTTTGGATCAAGAGAAACAATACAACAAGCCCCATAAAACAATGAACTGTATATATACGTAACAACTGCAATGAACAAATTGATTGGTTTTTAATTGTATTTCTATTGTTACTCTTTGTTTGTATCAGTGAAAGTCCCTGCCATTCATTGAGTGATGCTCTTTATTAAGTATAACGTTCAACTTCTATAATTATGTGTTTCGAAAGGAGTGCAAATTTCAATGTTTTCACACAGTTAATTAAAACAAAGTTACAGCTAAAAATAATTGCCTCTTTTTAATGTACAATTAAAGTGCTTTTTATTTTTTATTTACTTTTTTCTTTTGAAAAATATACATTTTGATCTGCTTTACTTTAGGTTTAGTTATCTTTAATTTAAAATAGTATTATGGCATAGTAGAAAGTATGGCATTGGCAGAAGAAACACATGCTTTGGGGCCACATGGATTGTAAGTGTCAGACATTTTGCTATTAAATGGTGCTATTTAATATGCACCATTTTAATGGTGTTATTTAATATGCGCCAGGCACTGTCCTTGCTTCTGGGATGCAATCGTGCAAAAGAAAGATGAAGTTCCTGCTCTTAAAGTTCTTACCAAGTTGTGTGACTCTAGGGAATTTTTTTTTTAATACTTTAAGTTTTAGGGTACATGTGCACAATGTGCAGGTTTGTTACATATGTATACATGTGCCATGTTGGTGTGCTGTACCCATTAACTCATCATTTAACATTAGGTATATCTCCTAATGCTATCCCTCCCCCTTGCCCCTGCCCCACAACAGGCCCCAGTGTGTGATGTTCCCCTTCCTGTGTCCATGTGTTCTCATTGTTCAATTCCCACCTATGAGTGAGAACATGCAGTGTTTGGTTTTTTGTCCTTGCGATAGTTTGCTGAGAATGATGGTTTCCAGCTTCATCCATGTCCCTACAAAGGACATGAACTCATCATTTTTTCTGGCTGCATAGTATTCCATGGTGTATATGTGCCACATTTTCTTAATCCAGTCTATCATTGTTGGACATTTGGGTTGGTTCCAAGTCTTTGCTATTGTGAATAGTGCCGCAATAAACATACGTGTGCATGTGTCTTTATAGCAGCATGTTTTATAATCCTTTGGGTATATACCCGGTAATGGGATGGCTGGGTCAAATGGTATTTCTAGTTCTAGATCCGACTCCAGGGAATTTACTGCTCTTTATACTGACTAAGTTTCCTTATCGGTAAAATAAGCATAATGGTAGCTATATACCAAATGTTGGCAGTAATGTTATTATGTATCTTTTACAGTATCTGACACACAGTAAGCACTTAATAAATGAAAGCCATTATTATGCTTGATATTACTGATATTAGTTATATAACTAGAATGTTGATATATAAGCTTAGAGTTCATAGCTGGGTCAATTAGAGTATCTGAAAAAAAGATTTATCAATTAAAGTTTCTCCTATTTTTCCACCTCCATTTCGATTATGAACAAATCAAAGATATCTATGTATTTATTCTTCTCAAAAATGAACCTGCAGCTGAATACACACATACGGCACACATGTACAAGGTAGTATTTATTACTTTGTAATAAAAAATAGTCATGGCATTTTTATGCCAACTTTTAACGGCTTACACTGGTAGCTCAATATACATCCAAAGATACTTTAAGACATTTATTACCAGGAGTTCTGATTCATTGCAATTAGAACGTTGTAGAGACTATTCTTTCAGTGATTTCTTCCCTGCTATTCTTTCTGCACCATTACTCATTTCCTCTCCTTGTTCTTTGGTGTTTTCACTTATAAGTAACTCAAACCCTTTTTGAAGTCTACATCGCTCTGCATTTTATCTCTGCAAGTATTTAACACATTAAGCCAGTCTTCATTGTTTTTCATATAGAACTCAGAATGAAAAGAAAAATAACAGAAAAAAATTGCTATTTTGTCAGAGATCCCATTAGTCCAATCCATTGAACATGGCATATATGGCTGCATATACTTCAGATGTTTTTGTAGACAAAAAGACTCTTAGGTAGTCTTGCCTTTCAGCAGGTCAAAAACAAATTAATGGATGAAAGAGATTGTAATCTTGCTCTCAATGTGTGCAATTGTTTCCTCAAAATGATTAGTGCTTGTAGTTGAAAGAGTACAGACCAGCACAAAGTTGTAATTTGTACTGGTACAAAGTTCTACTTTTGTACAAAGCACAAAATTACTTTTGCATGCCAAAGAAACAAACAGAAAATTCCTGTTTTTCCTGACAGAACTTGTTTCTATATACTATTAATATTATTCAATTTAGGAGGATTTATTGGGTAAGTGTTTCATAATATTTGTACTAGTTGCATACAGCAAAGACCAAGAACTGTATGATAAGTAACTGCACTAACTTTATCAGTCCATATCTTGACCTGTTTGTAAATTTGTGATTCTAGATTTATATCTTCTCTTAAAACTCTTCTCCTTTGCCTTCCTGGGAGGTTCTTGTTTCAATTCTCTTCATAGTATAGTGACTCTACTTTCCTTCCCTTCTTGGACCCTCTTTATTTTTATATTCACCAGCTTGTTCTAGTTGATTTCTGTTTACATCTCTCCCTTGGTGAGGTCACTTATTCTCTTGACCTGGTCTATTAAATTTGGACCAAAAGCATCAATAATTGATCCTGTGTTCTCCCTACCATTTTATTTTTCCATTTTCAGTGACTTTTGGCATTTCTGCTGGGTTCAGAAAAAACTGGTTCCTAGGACAGAGATGAGCTTGGACACGGAGTTCCTCTTTTACCACATTTCTCTGCTCCCAGGGCAATGGCTACCTGTGAGAATACTAGAATTTTTTTTTTATGGGGTCACACTGGGAATTAATGAGACTTAGTTTTTACAGCCCAAAAGCCAATGACAATTTTTGTGTTCATCATTATCTTCTACTAACAATCAAAATCAGGATTCACACCATTCAGCTAGATATTTCTTGATCTAAATAAATTTTTGTTGTCTGCAGATATAAAGTTAGACATAAGGAATTCATAGAGGAAAATGACCGTAAGAACCTGTAATTGTTTCTGTTAAGAAAATTCAAATTGAGAATGTCTTCAAAGTAAAGGTGATTCCGTGTTGAAATGTTTGATAAAACATATCCTAAGGGTAAGTAATTTACGTAAAGTTTTAATTTAAAGCAAATAAATGTTCTGTGCATGTAAGTGAAAAGGACGAATGACAGACATTAGGTTTTATTTGATTTTTTTATTCAGAGTCCCTAGTACTATGCCTGCCCCACAGTGGGTGATCAGTAAAGATCTAATGGATTAGAAGTGTTGAATTGCAATGGTTTCTGTTTCTTTCATTTTCTGTTACTTTCCAGATACTATTTTAGGCATCTCTGAAGGACTCTCTATCAAGTACTACATAGTGAACGGACAAATGAAACTTGATTTTAAATGAGATGGTTGAATTTCATTTCATTTTTAGGAAAAAGTAGTAAAGAATGAGTGTATGATTTGGCTTATATATCTTATTGCTTCCAAATAATTTAATGTATTGGTTTTCATAGAAACTCACCAAATGCATTTGGATACTAACTTTAAAAAAATGTACTTCTGAGAAATATTGACAACGATTTTCTTAGCTTGGTCATAACATAAGTCATAACATAAGTCTCCTTCTCTGGAATTCACTCCTACAAGAAGAATCCACAGTGTGTACCAGAACTATGGAAAATCATAATGTATGTGTGCATGTACTTGACATGGAGCACATGAAGATTTTTGATTGCTGAAACTCAGTGGTTATTTCCAAAAAGCGGGAATACGAGGGACTTTTTCTACTCTCTCTACTATTGAACTTTTTGCAAATATTATTTATTATTTTTAAAATTAAAAGTGACGGCATTTGTATGTGGACATTTTTTGTGCATCTGTGTGTGTGAGACGGAGTCTCCCTCTGTTGCGCAGGCTGGAGTGCAGTGGTACGATCTTGGCCCGCTGCAACCTCCACCTCCCGGGTTCATGCGATTCTTCTGTCTCAGCTTCCTGAGTAGCTGGGATTACAGGTGCCTGCCAACATACGCAGCTAATCTTTTGTAGTTTTAGTAGAGACAGGGTTTCACCATGTTGGCTAGGCTGGTCTAGAAATCCTGACCTCAAGTGATCCGCCTGCCTCGGCCTCCCAGGGTGCTAGGATTACAGACATGAGCCACCGCGCCTGGCCTGTGTGTCAGCTTTTAATGGTTTACACTGATGGCTCAAATCTTAGGACTTTTTCCCTGTAAGTTGGCAGTTCTGTTTCTTCTTCTTCTTTCTTTCCTCCCCTTAAGTCAAAATGTAGTTCAAGGTACCTGCTCACTACCACAGCTCCAAACTGAATGATCAATTTGCCATCACCTATAAGGATCTCATCACTCTCCACTTCATTTCTGCATTTATAGACTCCCTTGGTACCTCATTATGTCTCATTTGGGGATCTGTTGCTTTATACACTTATAATAATTTTACTATCATTGAAAATTTTTAAATTTGATAATAAAATTCTCTAATGTATATACACTAGTAAGAATCATCATAGTAAAACATAATCCAGATCATGTCTCTTTGTTCGAACACTAATGTTTTACCAGTTTGCTTGAGTGAAAGCCAAGTTCATACAGGTATAACCTCGAATCTGAAAACTTTGGAACCACATGCATTTTGATATTAACAATTTTGAAGATTTTTAGAGTTAATGCAATGCATAGAACATATTTTCTATTATGCGGATTGCCCACTGGAGTTCTGGGGCCATGTGGAATATTTATATGTCTTAAATTTTCACAGCAAAAGGAGAAACAATTAAAGACTGCAAATAGCCTCACATCAGATCAGATCTAGTTTTACTCTAACATGATATTTTATGTTTAGACAGTTTAGTAGCAGGAGGGAGTGACTTTTGGTTGTCAAAACTTTTAGGATTTTAAAATTGTGAGCAAAGATTTTGGACCTTATTATAACCTACAAATCCTTACAAGATCTGGCTGACAGTGCCTTCCTGAGATCATTTAGTGCCACTCTCTCTCTTGCCTTATTTTTCTTCATATCACTTACCACCATCAAACAGTTCATATATAAACATATATGATATAGTTCTTATTTGTTTTTTATTCTCTATTTAAATATGCCTTTCTTCAAGGCAGAAACCGATGGTGCTGCATCCAAAGTGTTTAGAAGAGGGCCTGGAACATAGTATGTGCCATGAATTTTTGTGTGATATTGAACACATTTTTTTGATTTTTATGATCACTGTATATTGAATTACACAAAAGAAATAGTAAGGACTGGTTTAACACATGGGCAATGATTAATATGCAGCATTTAACAGTATTTTTATTTGCATACAGATATCTCTCCTTATCTATGGTTTTGCTTTGTGTGGTTTCAGTTACCTGCAGTGTAGTACAACACAATTTTTCTGAGAGAAGAGAGAGTAAGAGCACATTCACATAACTTACTACAGTATATGTATAATTAGTTATTGCTATTTATTACTGTGCCTAATTTATAAATTAAACTTTATTATAAGTATATATGTATAGGAAAAGTCATATTGTATATAGGGTTTGGTAACATTTGTGGTTTCAGGCATCCACTGGGGGTTTTAGAATGTTTCTCTCAAAGTTAAGAGGAACTAACATAAACTGTGATTTTAAAAAAATGACATTTCTGAAACTGTTCTTGAAACACTTTCAGTTGGTCATGGCGGATTGACAGCATTGACCTTATGGTCTAACACATAACAAAAATCACACAAGCAGCTACCTGTCATAGATCTGCATATGACTCTCAAGCTATGTTTCCAGGTCTAAATTATGATTTGCAATATTTTCCTTCTGCTTTATCTTCTGATATAAGCTCTGAAATCTGTTTGTAGGAAAAAGCAGAAACAAAAGAAAAACTAAGTTATGGGTGAAGAAATAAAGGGCAGTGGTGCAGTAATTGAAGGGCCAAATGTGGGTATATCTTGTCTCTGGAGCTCAGCGCATGGTGTTTTCTGTCATTCATCCACTGAATTCAATGCGCCAGTCCTATCTGAGGTTCTGGAGAATCAGCAGTAAATGAGACAGACAAGATCACTATGTTACAGATTGTTTCAGGTACTAAGTGCTATGAAGAAAACTAAAGCTAGAGAAGATGACAATGTGTGTGTGTGTGTATGTGTATGTGTATGTGTATGTGTATGTGTATGTGTGTGTGTGTGCATGCCTGTGGGCTTGTGATGTTGTTTAAGATGAGATTGTGATATAGAAAGGGAGGTGAGGAAAAAAAGAATCATTATTGTATAACATATCTCTGTTACCTATCACTGCTCTACTTTATCCAGTTTGGACTACATTATTCAGTGGAATCACACATGCACAAACACACACACTTCTTTACTTTACATGGGTCTTTGGAAATACAGCTTTGATTATTTGCCTTTGAAAGTGGTAAAACACACATAGCAGTTCGTGTATAAGCATGGCATCTATTTCAATGCCTGTTACTGCACTGCTCAGCCAAGTGCATTTTAGGAGTACTGGCAAGAGGGAAAATACCATTTCCTCACAGTGTTTATGTTTATTTTCCTAAGTAGGTCCTCTTCTTTTATGATTTACTCCCTTGGACATCCTTCTTTTCAAACTTTGTATATACTTTCGGGCACTTTTTTCCATGTCTAAAACACATTATTTTCTCAGTAAGTATTTCTTAAATTGAAATGAATTCATGATTTAAAGGTTTAGTTTTTCATGCTAAGGATAGTTGGGATTTTATGGTTGTGTTTTTATTAAGAGATCTTAGGAATATTTTTCTTCCTTTGAAATTATTACAATTATAATTACTATATATATACAATTATAATTACTATAATTGTAATAATTAATTGCAATAATTGTAATAATTATCTTTTGAGGTATGCCACCTACGGAGGTTTAGAAGCTGAAAGAAATGTCCCATGGAAAGCCTGCTGGCTCCTTGCTCATTTGTTACTCTTAATGAACAGACACCCACATTCGTGAGTGCCTGTGGTGCCCACACTCTCTGGAGTTTTGAGTCATCTTATTCTGCCTTAGTGGAATCACCATCCTTTTTCAAAGGTGGGTTCAGAGGTGGATTTAGATGTTGGGTGTTCACATTTTTGTTTTATGTATTTCGGGAGAAGTTCTTAAAACAGCTATAAAAATACTTAAAGAAAAAAAATCACTTTACCTTAAGCATGTGTCTTAATGCTTACTCCTTCACGCAGTCATGAAATGAACTGAAAGGCATGAATAAACCTCAAAGTTTCTTTATAGAATTTGACAGAAAATTACCTTGCAGTTACTCTGATTCTTCCATATAACTGTTTCACATTCTCTATGGCAAAAATTTTGAAAGGGATCTCTGAGTGTGTTCATCAGACTTCACATTTTATAATTATTTCAAAAATTATTATTGTTTTCTCTAACACCACCAATTATTAATAGAAGACAAATTGTGTCTGTATATTCCTTGAATGCTAGAATTCCCCCATTATTTTGTCCTTAACTTTCCTACCCCATGGGCCATCTCCTATACTATCTAAATTTAAATAGCTCCTACTATTTATGCTAATGGTGCTCATTTTCTTGATCCATGTGGCTGCTCCCAGTCCTTGGATCCCTCCTCTGCTCCCTTTTTCCCCCCAGGCTAGACCCTGTGGCTGGTTACCCAAATTACTTGCTCACAAATATCCTTGACTCTTATATCTGTCTATTCACCTATTACCTACAATATTCTGATCCTACACTGTTGCCACAATCCACCTTCTCTGCTCCCATATCCTAGTAGCTGAATCTGCCAAAGAATAATAACAAAAACTTAAAGACCATTACAAACCTGTGGTCTCCAATTTGTCTAGTCACTGTAATATCTACCCCCTTTCCCAATCTTTTCAATGAATTATTTAAACATGTGGTGCTTTTCTTATGTGCCCTCTTCAATCTTTTCCTTCTATCAGCTAATGACTTCTTGATTTATTGAGAAAACTGTACCTATCACAATTTTGTTACAAACTCTCATTATAGTTTATCCCTCTACCTGTAAACTATCTCTAGACCAATCTTAAAAGTCTTTTCCCTAGACTAGGAAGATGTGTCCATCCATCCCATCAATATTCCAAAATCTAATTTGCCTAGACTTGACTCTACTTTTCGGCCTCCCACCCTCCCTTTCATACTCACCTCCTCTAATGGTTCCTTCTCATGAATATGATGATGCTCCAGCCCCTCTTATTCTAATAAAGTGTCCCTTGACACTGGAGTACCTCTGTTATTATTCATTTTTTCTTCTTTTCTCATCCAAACTTTGCAAAGAAGTAGTCTTCACTTCCTTACTTAAATTTTTTAGTTCTCTGAAATCTGATTATTCCCTCACCACCACATTAGAACTGCTTTTATTAAGGCAACACTTACATCTATTTTAATTTTCCAAACCCAATCATCATTTTTCATCCTCATGTTACTGGACTGGACTTTAGAAATCAAAGTACATGAATTATATAATTGTTGAATTGCTTTGACTTTTAATAAGATTTTATTTATGCTAGAAAATTTATAACAATTTAAATATCTCTTAAATTTGATGTTTTTATTTAGGCTTGCAAAGATACTAAACAGCAAGTTCTGTAAGACACAAAACAGTAAGACTATCTACAACAAAAGCTACAAGGCTAATTGGTTTAGGAAAACTGTCTTAGCATTGACTCTATAGGATTTTAGGAGAGGCTGCTGTCATTTTTGAAAAGAATAATAAGTAATATAATGACTTTGCTCCATTAAGAAACAGTGACCTGATTTGAGGAGTTCAGAGACTCTTCAAATGTGCCAAAGTTTCTGTTTCCCTTTCACCAATTTGTTTTTCTTTATTAAGTGCTTATAAGTTACCCAAGCCTGTATTATATTATCATAGTTATGGAAAAGAGGACAATCTTTAGATCTAAAATATTTGGTGGTCTATTACCTTTGAGAAAATGCGAAAGGCTACAGACTTGAAAGAAATTCTGCACTATAGGTGGCTTCATTGAGATGACTCAATAATTGCCACCTGTATTTATCTTTAAAATCTCTCCTTCCTCTGCCAATCTTTTAACACATTTAAAATTGTAAATATTTGGAGTTTCTATATAACTCCAAGCCATAGCCCGTTTATTTGTTTTTATACTAACTCTTCTTATGTACATAACATGAATGGCAGTTAAATAAAGTTCTCTTATTCTATAAACATCCTTTAAAGATGATGTTTTTCATAAACTTCATTTTTATTTCAAAATGTTTTCTAGGTAGTTATATTATTCATCAAGTTATTTTTATTGCTATTTCACTACTCATAATAAAGAAATAAACTTCCATTGTTGCTTATTGCTTCTATTTCTTCAGAAACAGTCTCTCTAATTTTACAGCTAAACTCATGACATGTTTGTTGTGAGATTTTAGAAAAGGGTGGGGAGCAGGAGGATGCAGTACCTTAGAACTTTCTATCCAGGGGCTGTGGCACAGGGGCCTGTTGCCCCAAGGTTTAAAGTTGTGCAGAAAAGTTAATGTCTTCAGCCTTGGGGAAGCAGTGGGGACTCCCAGTCAAGGGCAGCTTTCTTTGTCAAGCCAGTACCCAGAGAAATATTATCATTTCCTTTGTATACTATAATATAAAAATAATAAAGAATTGCTACTTTACAGTAAAGCAGAACTTATCTTTAGGACAAGTATTGAAGAAAACAAAAACTTGATATTCTTTTTTATATTGCTATAAAAATAATGGATTATTTTTATTAGAAACTGATAAATCAAAATTATTTTTAATGGTTATTAGCTAGTAAGAACAGGCGGTATATGTATGTGTACAAGAAATTTGAGGTTCATTGTTAAAAATGAGAAGAATTATATCATTGATTGCTTTATCTGAATAATATTTTATATAATGATAGTCTGTTTTCTAAATGGGTTATAAGTAAACACAGATTTGAAGGTGTGTTCATACACAATGGCTGGCTTAATTGACTCTAGTGAGAAAAATCACAGCTGCGGGCCAAATAACTTCTTAATTTATTATAATGCTATATAAACAGACTGAGTCTATCTTTTTTAGTCATTATTACTGTTTTATGCTTTATGTATTATATTAACATCCAATAGAGCAATATTGTACAAAATGAAATTTCTAATAGGCGTTTTTCTGCTTCTAAGTAACAATGAATTCATTTATTTGCATCAAACATGTTTTATTGATTTATGTATCTCTTTATCAAATATTTATTGAGTGCCTACTATGTGCTAGATAGAGTGAGATGAAACAGCAATGGAAAGCCGACATGGAATTCTTCTCAAGCTCAAAATGTTAATTTGTTACTGTGGATTCCTTCTTTTTGTAATTATATATGCTAAACCCCCCAGTCTGAGGAACTGGGACTTAATGTATGGTGTTTTCTGCGGAGAAGAAAAGAAACTCTTCTACTAAGTAAAAGAGAATAATTTGTCATTGAAATCATTGAGCATGGAATAAATAAGAATCCTACTATTAATATATTACTGTTAGAGTCTATAAATGTTGGCCCCTTATTTCTCAAAACTCCATTTTTGAAACTATAATAAAGCAATAATAATAATTCCGCTAAAAGCCCAAATTTCTGAATATTCTCAGTTTTGATATTTTAGAAATATTTTAATTTTTTTGCTAGTTTTACCTTAGTCTAAATAGAGGCTTTTATCTGATGATAAGTAATTTTCCCTTTAAGAAATACTAAAGTAGATTATAAAACTTGTACCAAGAACAAACTCTAAATTATTTTAAAGTGTTCAATGTTAGTAAATGGAAATTTAGTCACGATTAATTAACAATTGCTCTTTAGGAATTTTAGTAACTCCTATATTGGAAAAATGTAAACCCTTTCTATAGAGACCTAAATTTATTTTCATTAAATGTACTTTAATGTTAATAACTATTAACTATCTCGGATAGTTCCTGAAACTGATGCTGAAGTCATTTCATGAAAAAAATCACACTATATTTTATCATCATAATAAATGTATTAATGTTATCATGGTTATTTATTTTGGCTTTGAATTTCATTAAGTAATACCATTGTCTTAAAAATTTATCACAGAGGACAGAAAACAAATGCATGTCATTTGGCTATCTCACCGATGTCAAAGTTTCTTTTCATCCTGGGGCTGGGTGTTGGGAGGAGAAAAGTGATGTTAGGAAAATAAAGTCTCTGTCTGTCTTGGAGATGGGGGTACTATTTTATGAATCCAATTTCATATCTATCTTGCCATCTGTCACTAGGCAGAAGAGATATAGGACAGTGGCAAACTCATGTTGTAAAGACTGTCTTGGGATAACAAAGAGAAAAGTTAATGGACATGGATTTACAAATTATTAATGATTTTTCTTGTCATTTCTTGAAAAATGAAAGCTATGCACGCTGCCTCTCTCCCCAAACAGATTGCATTTTATTCCTCTGCAGTTTGTCCGTCAGCCTTCACTCTGACAACATAATCCAGAACTAATCCAGAGCATTCAGTTTTCCTTGTTGGCTCTCAGGCAGCCTGCTTAGACAAATCCTGCTACCTGTCAGCCCTCCTGTGGGTGCCAAACCGGCTGCCAGGTTAACCTCTGGGGAAACAGGAAGACCTGCTGATTTAACCCCTACTTCCCTTCCTATAATCCACAGTAAATAGGGAGGATGTGAATAGGCTAACTGTTCTAATCAGGCCTGGATCTCTTAAAATCTGTTTCATACACAGCTTTAAGAACTCAGGTTATGAACATCCCTACATAAAATCACATGGCAGTTCCTCCAAAACGTGGGCCTTAAAGAAGCAGATGGATCAGATACACTGAAAGGTCTTAATCCTCTAAAGTAGCCTGTGTAATATATATACCATTTCCCTGAGCCACATCATTGCTTATAAATATTTCCTAATTATCAGGGTGAGGTCTAATTTGATTATGAAAACTCCTATTTTGTTAATTTCTAATATGACTGCCATCATTTACCTTTTCTTTGTCCCCTGCCTTCCCCAATACATGTGTATGCACACATGTTAATTCTTATTGCATGACAGTGAATTTGAATATTGTTTACAGATTGGCCTCAAATGATTCCAATATGAGCAAATAACTAGACAAAGTTTTCAAATGAGTAAATATAAATTAATGTTGCATGGCATTTAAATGACTCTCATTGAATTGATCAAGAAGAAAAACGGAGCAACTTAAGGTAAAAAGCCTCTTGAAAATACTCACTCTTTATTCAAAAAGAACAACACACTACCTTCTCCTTGTTGGAATTCAAGGCACATCAGTCTATCTGCTCCTGCAGCATCAACAATCCACAGCAGAAAAAAAAACTTGCATAAGCATGGTGTTCCAAGGCACGCTTCAAAGTTCCACTAAGTTTAGTCTCCTGAGAAATGTGATGAAAATTCACTCAGGTCTTTTAATGTTAGGAGGGCGAGATATTCAGGTCAATAGGGGAGGAGGTAAGCTTAGACCAGTCCCTGGAGAGGGAATCTGAACTCCACCATAAACAAGTGGTGGGAATCACTATGACTTCTAATGAAGATCTTCAGTTCTCCTTCATTTAACTGCAGGCTTTTCTGTGAGAGTGAGAAAGGCAAGGTTTACTTCTTCCCTACTTATTCCCTCCCACATAACAGAAGATGAAAAATGAGGAATGTTCCTTATGCAAAACAAACACCCAGATGTGGGTTTGATGAAGTGAGTGCACTTGTACATGCATAAACACACACACACACACACACACATCACACTCACTTGATGGTTTCTAACCTAACCGGTTATGATATTAAATATTGTATTCCTACTTCCGGTTACTGAGTTGGCCCATCTATCATTATGTAATGACCCTCTTTCTCTCTTTTTATAATTTTCATCTTGAAATCTATTTTTAATTATTGTGATAACAAATGTATTTTTGTAAAAATAATTGTATCAACTTTTATGCAATAGAAATAAAAATAATTTTGTACTTCAATACCTAATAATTAAAAAAACTAATATTTAATTTTATTACCTCCTTTCTACTCGAGATAATAAATGTACTTTTTTAAAAATAGATTTTTAATTTTTTAAAAAACTTATTTGGGTTTGTTTATGTTAGCATTCTTTTCACCTTTCTTTCTCTTTTGATGGTCCATGATTTTTTTTCTTTTACTCTTTTAAATTCATATTTGTTTTATTGGTGATAAAGTTTGCTAGGATATCAGCCAGTAATTTATCACAAAGCAGCTGAATTTCATGGTTAAGGTGAGAACCAGGGATTAATTGTCAAACACCACCATGTAAGACAAAGCTTGTTTTAAAGCAGACCAATTTGTTTATGTTCTTTTTGATAAGTAGGTAGTTATTAAACTGAAATTTGGAAAAAAATTAACATTAGAAAGGCAGGATGAGATTTTAAAATTCAACCACTGGAATAAAAAGTCTTTAAAGTATTTCATTAGGTTATATTGATCATTATTAAAAATGTTTTTGAAAGAAGACTTTATTACAATAATGACTAAGTTTTGTGATAAGATGCACTGGGGCTATAATCTCCAGATTGACCAGGGATGATAACCGAGTCACTTACTAGGAGCCAGAGGCCTGGAAACACGGACTTGGGTAGAGGAAAGTGGGCAGAAGGGGATGTGAGGTTGGGGAGAAGTCAGCTGATCTGGGATGCAGCTGGGGGTGCAGGGAGAAAATGTGGCTTAACGAAAGAGAATGGAGTGAAATTTTGGGAGAGAAAATCTATGTAAGCAAGTTAAGAGAAGGGGAATAGAGAATAAAAATAGAAGAAAGAGGAAGGAAAGAAAGGCGTCTGTGCATAGGTTTACATATGAACGTACCCCATGTAATGGAAAATAATCACAGGAGTTTTAGAAAATAGTGTTACTCAGTAATGCAATCTTTGTGCCATGTTTAAAACTTTCAAGAATATGTATTATTAGGAATTGTAAAGATACATACCTTAACACATACATATAGAATGCAAGAAAAATCTTTTAATAATTATATGAAGGCACAGAGGTTAGGAGCATGATCTACAGAGCTGGACTGCCTAGGTTTGAAACTCAGTTCCACCATTCACTAGCTGGGTAATATAGGGAAGAACTTATTCTCTTTGTGTTTTATTCTCGTCCTCTCTAAAATGAATATTTATCCATAGTGATATTGTGCAGATTCCTTTGGATAATATATGTGTAGTGCTTAGAATGGAGCTTGACATGCATTGTAGGAGTTCAATGCAGTTTAGCAGTTACTCCCGAGTTTAAATGCACTTAAACCTCTATTAAACTTCCAGTGTTAGAACTCTTTAGTCAGAAATCATAGGTTGGTATTTTTTAAATTAACATATCAAGTTGTTTAAGGTTCATATTAAGCAGAATATTTAGAATCTATATATCAGAATTATTTCCAGTGCTTTAGAGCTTTAAAAAAGAGCTTTGATCCTTTGGGATACTGAGTAAATTGATTTTAAAAACACTCATACATTTCTTTGCCCTAAGATATTTCAGGGCTTAAGTTGACCTACTTTTTGTTTGTATTTGACATATTTACTCAGTGAAGAATACGTTATTTTCAGAACGGACTGTAAGAAAAGTAGCAAGATGCATTATTGAAGCTATATATTAAGTAGAAATACAAAAAATCCTGTAGCACCCTGGGTTGCTATTTGGTAATAATGACATAAAGCAACTTCAGCTTGAGCAGTCATGCTGTTTAGAATACATTAACTGTTATACAATTAATCAATATGTTGTAAACAAATGCTGAAAATGTTAGGTCATTTTTGATCATCTTTCCTTTCAAAAGCACCAGCTGTAAGGGGTTATCTGGTTATCGATCATGTTTCTTATCAGCCCTGCACATTATGGTATGTTTGTAGTTGGTACATAATCTAAACAACGCTGGCCTAATTCATCGACCTTTGAAATCTGGGTCTAAATGGCAGTAAAACAAGAAGACTGATAACACTTAAAGAAGTCTTTAGCTTGGTCTCACTGTCTGCTAAAATTTGAAATGATTCCAACCCATAAAGTAAACTCCATGGCACATGTTACCCAAGGAATAGTGTTCAAGCCAATGGAGGAGAATAAAATTTGAACTTTGAATTTTTAAGTCAGCAATTATTTTCAGCAAAGAAGAAACTATACTTGTTAGAATCAATATAAAGATTTCAGTTTCTGTCAGATCCTAGCTTCCACTTTCAGCTAAGGGATAATGAGATGCCCCCAGAGGGTCTGAATGAAATGTAGATTATTTTAATTTGGAATGAAATATCGCTAATGGTATTTTCTGGTTTGGGGATTTTTGGAAAAAATTTGTCAAGTACTTGGAACACACATTCAGTGAATAGACACACAAATGTTTTTACTGAATAAACTGGTAAAAAGTGATTTTAAAATATATAAGCAATCACAAATTAAAAACAAAAGAGATGAAAGTCTAAATTAAGCTGAGTCAACCAACTAGTGGGAACCTTTAATTAATAATAGATTTCTGCATTCTTCACCAGCCCCCCACAAGTTTGACACATGTCCACTTTGGCTTTTTGTAAATGGGATCATTCAGTACTTACATGTAACATCATTACTTCTATTATCTAAGGATATTCTACTGTATGGACATGTCAACAAATACTTAATCAGTCTCCTTTTGATATATAAGTTTGTTTTCAAGTTATCACTATTTTGACCATTCAGGTTTATAATATCTTTGCTTCTTTTACACTTACTATTTCCTTAGGATAAATCCTTAGATGTAAATTGAATGGGTTAGATGGTACCTATGTTTAACACTCCACTCTATATTGCTGTATTACCTTTTAGAAAGAGTGCAGCAATTTATACTTTTACTTCCTTTTTATATATTTATTCGCTTCCATGGTCCATTGACACTATTTCCATTTTTTTTGTTGTTGCTTCCTAAGCAGGTAGACAAAGTTTGCCTTTAATTTGCATTTGTTTAACTGTGAGAGTGAACAACTTTTCAGAGTTACTGGCCAGTTTATTACTTTTCCTGACGCCTCTGTTTATTTGCCATTGTACACTTTTCCATTGAGTTGTGAAACTTTTTATTTATTTGAAAGCTTTTTACATAAAAGTATATTCCACTTTATTATATATAACAAATATATATTTAAATATGGTAATGTATTTTACTATATAGTGCAAATATTTCCCCTTTCTGTATTTTAATTGTTAGTTTTTTAATTTCTAGATTTATTCCATTATGATCATAGAATATGGCCTCTGAAATTCTGTTTTTTGGATTTTCTTGCTGTTGTCTTTGTTACTTAATATATGGTCATTTTAAAACATTTTATGAATGCTTAGGAAAGAAAACATATTCTTAGTTATAGGTTGAATCGGATACATTAATTTTATAATCAAAAATTCTATATTTGATTCTCTTTTTATCTGTGTAATCTGACAGAGGTTGTGTGGTAAATGCTCCTACTACAATTAAATACCAGAACATTTCTTAAAAATTTGTAACAGTATTTGCATTGCATTACACATTTTGATATTGTTATTAATTACTGAAAGTTATGATTGTTATGCTTTTCTTTGGAAAGAATCATGCTTCTTTTAGCTAAAAATAACCTTGGACATATATAATATTTTTATTCTGTTGTATATATTATTTGCAAGATATTCGATATCCTTTTACTTTATTTCTTCCATGTCATTTGCTTAGGGATTCTTCCATTTGCTTAGTATTTCTGTGTATATCTCCTTTAGTGAAGCAGAGTTTTAGTGGTTTGAAGGTAACTCTCTTGGCCAGGCTTTGATATAAGGCTTACAGTGATTACAAAAAATGTATTAGATATGATTATTTTTCATGTTTTAGGTAATTTTAACAAAACATTGGAATTATTCTTTGAGAGACCAAATTGACTAATAAAAAAGTTATGAGTTTGCTTCATATTATTGAGGTAAACTTAAAATTAAGTTGTGATTTTAAAAGGTAGAACTTATAATTAATGAAACTAGTCAGTTTTGACAACTTGCTCAGACTTTTTGGTGTTTCCTCTCTTTAGAACAGAGTATTTGATTCATTTATTTTCAGGTTTGTGTCCCAGTTGCAAATTCTAGGGTAATTGAAAAGTTCCATTCAATATCTTGTTGCATTAGATTTAGGTGATTATACAAAGTTTATTTTTTTCTCTTTTCTTCAATATTATGTGGGAATTTAATATATATTCTATATTTAATATAGAATAAATGAGAGACAAAAACAACAAAAAAGCAACTTAAAAGTAGAGGTTGTTTCCTTTTGAAAATTGAAACTGCACACACAAGAAATCTCTCCATCAAAATAATGACCTATTGTTGAGCTAAGAAGGAAAATGAGAAACAAAATTTATATAGCCTCATTTTAATAAAACAGCTTTTTCCAAGTCAATTTTATTCATATCTTTTATGGGTATGCATAGGCCATATATTCATTCATTTATCAATTATAAATTTATCAAATGGTTCATTCATCCCAAAACTTTCATATACAAAAAGCAAGCCATTGTGAATCATACACCTTGTACTATGAAGATACTTGAAAAATAGCATGACAGTAATTTTGCACTTAATAGAATTTGTCATACAATAGAGAGATAACACATGGTCACAATTAAGCAAATATAGATATGGAGAAATTTTATTTTCTTAGCAGCTGATATGAAACTTCATTTTATGAAGAGACTCCCCCTATCCATTCCTCTCAATGATGTTTTGATGATAATTTGATGAGTTACAATCTGGACAGAGGCTAGGCTTCCAAGGACTGGCTATCAGCTGGCCCCCAGGTTTCATAAGACAGAGAAAGCCCTCTGCCTGGTAGAGGGATATTTGGCTGTGCTGGTTGACTGAGCGCTGATTGTGTGGGGAAAGCATAAGAAGGTAAGAAGACTTCTTGGAGCCAGGTGCGGTGGCTCACGCCTGTAATCCCAGCACTTTAGGAGGCCGAGGCGGGTGGATCACTTGAGGTCAGGAGTTCGAGACCAGCCTGACTGACATGGTGAAACCCCGTCTCTACAAAAAATACGAAAAATTAGCTGGGCATGGTGGCATGTGCCTGTAATCTCAGCTACTTGGGAGGCTGAGGCACAAGAATTGCTGGAGCCTGGGAGGCACATGTTGCAGTTTGAGCTGAGATAGCACCATTGCACTCCAGCCTGGGTGACAGAGCAAGACTATATCTCAGAAAAATAAAAGAAGACTTCCTGGGGGAGGCCCAGCTAAGACAGGGACTTGGGGAAGACAAAAAATAGTCAATAAGCATTTTAAACTGCTTTCAAATTGTTTCTGAGGTTCTTTAATGTGAAATACCTGTCTTGCAAGTTATAACATTTTGTGTTAAAAAACCTTTGTTTCTCATCAATTAGTATGTGTCTTTTTGGGAAACATTACAAAGTGTAGAGTCTCACATACTCATTGGTGCCAGGTGAAAACAGAACTAACTGGTTGCATAGATCTTACAAACCAAAGGAAAAGGGAAAAGATGACATTTGAGTAACAGTAAATCAAAATTTTTGATGTGACATAACTCATCCACAAAATTACACTCCTCTTCCATAGGAGTTTAGAAAATGGAAAGATTATTTCCCACTGTGTAATTAGAAGATCCATAGACACAGTGGGATTTGAAAACAGGTTTCTTTGGTGAGTGAATGGTGATCATAAGAGATATTAATATATGGGGGGATATTTGCAATGAGAAAGAAGAGAGTGGGTAGATTTAGAAATGTAGACATGTATCAGGTATATTCAGAGAATGGGGAATAGTTTAGTTTGTTTAGTCCTTAAAGGCAAAATCTAAGAGTTAGAAAAAATGTTGAATATGCATATTTGAAAGGACCTAACAGGTTCTGAAATGTTATATTACTTACTGAATAAATAGCAATAAGTTCATTGCCAAATTAATAGACATGTTGAAGGTAATTTTCATAAAAACTCATGATGTTTTAATAAACTAGTTCTAAAACTTATCTAGAGTAATAAACATATGAGCATATATTCAGAAAAAAATACAGTGATAAAACTCAAAATACAGATGCAATTATTTAAACATTTCAGTAGTGACGCTCAGAATAGGCAGACAAATAAGTGTATTAGGAGTTCTTGAAATAGACTTATTGGGCTAAAGGAGACATTAGGGTTGGATTGCAAAGGGAAGGATTATTTGGTAAATAATGTCAGTGTTAGCTGACATTTTGGAAAAAGAGATAATGTAAACCCTGACATTTCACATCTCATATTTAGAAAATCAAGTGATATCAAATAATTTTAAAACATAGAAACATCCCAAAATAAAAAGATTGAAATACCTATTAAGTTTTTATTTGGGCACAGAAAAAGAAGAATATGACTGGCAAATTTTAGAAGCAACTGAAGTCATCATGGAGTTGAATGTCTATAGTTGACATAAAATTGATAAAAACAAACTTAGGATATAATGAAATAGAAGTTTGAGGGAAGGAGAGTCCTTTTTGGATTGCAGCAGCTGAAGAAGGCACATCAAGATCAGAATTTCCTTAAGGAAAGGAAAGGATTTATTCAGAGTAGGACAAGTGGAGAGGAGATAAGTGTGAAGTGGCCTGGAGCTGTGTAAGACGTTTGCAGGGCAAAATGATCCTACTGGCCTGTGCAGAAGCAGAGTATGCTGTTGGGAAGAGCTGAGAGGTCAGATTAAGGAAGGTCTTGAAAATCAGTCTTAAGAGTATCTATATGGTACAAAATGACTTAGAAAATGGCTGTGGGAAATCAGGCATGAAATGAAGATGGCCAGACACTTTCTTTTTATTTTCAATTAATTTCTTTCCATTTGAGTACCCAGTGTTTTGTCTTTTCAGTATAAATCTCCAGAATGGAAAAGCCAAAACTATGTTTCCATTAAGATTTGTTTGTAACCTCTTGTTCTGGCAGGAAAGACCAAACGCTTTTACAACAGTTAATTCAACTTCAAAGCCAAATGACAGGAGGCAAGCAGACACTTAGCACGATAGTTTTGTGACAGTTATTAACAGCATCTTTTATTTCTGATTGAATGCATTTCAACGAATCATTCTAGCACTGCTACAAGATTGTCTTGCCATACCTTGTAACGTCTAAAATAGCAAGACATTCTCAAGTGTAATAAAATATGGGACAACACTTCTTGGTGTTTAGCACTTTTGTTGATTACAATGCTCCATCTCATCTCCTTGGCCCTTTCATTGATGATTCCCGCTCAAGGTCTCATCACTCAACTTTCTCATGACAGCTGAACTGCAAAAAAGTAAGAAGGATGAAATCTGAGATCATTTTTTAAAGAAGGATTTGCTAACTTTTAGAAATGCTTAATACAAATGGCTAATATATATAGCTGTGTATGTAAATATAATAGCTAAACCAGTAATTCACACGCATTTACTCTTTAAAACAATCCACTGATGTAAGTACCCTTCTTATAAGTGAAGAAACTGAGGCTTATAGAGGTTATGTAACTTGCTGGGATCGCAGAACTGGTGAGTGGCACAGCTAGCATTTTAATCTAGACAATGTGGCTCCAAATTTCAGGCTCTTAGTCACTACATCATATCACATCCACCATTTCCTACGTGTTGAATTCTCCTTATTTGTCAGGATTCAGTTAACTCTTAACTGCAATGAGGACTTCTCTAATTCCTCACCTGGATTTACTCACTATATTCTTTAGGCTCTCAGTAACTTTTACTTGTACCTTTACTATAGCATGTGTCATATTACAGTTTAATCTCTTATGGTTTTATATTTTATAACAAACATTGCAAATTGCAGACCGAATTGGGCAGAAGGGTCATTTTGATTTACTGAAGTAATGTTTAAGTATATTTTATTTTGAGTGCTTCTGCATGGCGCACACTGTGGAGTTATTTAGAGTTCCCACTATACCCTAATGTCTTATGCTTAGTTAGTTCCTGAATTTGCATTTCCTGATTGTACTCTCAAAGGCTTTTGCTTCTGTGTTCTGTGTTGTGTATTTTCTTTTACTCTCTGCTTATTTTCTCTTACATTCTTCCTCCTTCACCTCTCCCCAAACCTCACCTCTGGGTTAAAAGCTCTTTGGACTCAGATTCTGTGGTTTATTCATTTTTTGTTTGCTTTCATCACCATATACCACAGAGCCTGGAATATAGCTAGGAATAAATACAATGACTTAAAAAATTTCTTGGTCTGCTCTTCTTGATGCTTAGGATTATATAAAACTTCTATCAAGATAGGAGTGCTCTAATTAAATATTTTCAAGAAATGTTTGAAAGGACATTATTACCATTAACCTTCACATAAACCATTTTTAAATGGCTTAAATGTAACTTGTAAATAATTCCTGTAGAACTGTGTCTATAGCTTTTGTTTAAAAATACATGTACGACTTTTCCATCAACAAAGACATTTAAATTTAGTCAAATGTTTGGTAGTAATCTCACCAAATACCTATTTGAGGAAGAGTATTTTTTTCCAGAGCCCTTTGAGTCTAGATATAGTCATAACGGTTTCACGTCATTATTTCTTATTTGACAGGATGTTATTTTCCTAATCTGTAGTAACACTCAACTTGGAAAATAATGTCCTCTAATATTACTTTATTATCTGTAAATTACAAGTCAAGTCAAATCTTTTAAAAGATCATGGACTAATTGTCATTTTTTTCTTTACTGGAGACAAAACCAATGTTTTTTATTTGAAAGCTGTTAACATCACCCAATTCCCTTGTTTCCATTAAAGAGGCAGAATCAAAAATAATTATATGGTTAAATTGTTTATAATCATTTCTTTTTTAAAAAACTCATTAACTCTAGCATCAATATTCATAATATTCTAATAATTCTGTTCTGAAGTAGATTTACTAATTAGATTATAGCCATGATTCAGCTATACTGCAATATAAAACTTCTTCAGTTAAACTAAATGTTTTGAATGTGTTACTTCAAATAATTATTATTTGGTTGATATTACTATTCACTTATTGGACAAAAACTAAAGTTTTCAAGATATAATGAGGACAATATACTGAAATAAAAGGACCAAAATGTTATAAGCACTACAGTTGAATATAGGTAGCAGGGATTAATAAAATCATATTATATATAAATGAATAATTTTTTTCTTATGTCACTCTGTGACATCCATTTTCAACATCTAGTACTGCCAGCTTCAATTACTATAAACATTTCATAAGCTACTCCTCAAAATATGACCTCAGTTCTGTTGGGATGTTCTAAAGATTTTTAATTCTAAAGGGGAAAAAATGTAAATTCATAAGGCCTATACTTTAGACATACTTTTAACAGTTTGGGTTTAAATAAGACCTATTTTGCTGTACTTATGGATAGAAACGAATCATAATTTTTCTTGAAATCTTGGGGCAAGTCATTTAAAAATATGAAATTAAAGCTGCACAGTGATTGTCATGCATGGCTGGAAGCGGTAACCACTTCAGCCATTGAAATACACTGCGATTGGTGTTCATGTGGATTACATTTTAATATTGTACTGGAAGCTTAATTATAAAGGATTATTAGCAGATCATAAGAGGACTACAATGAAATAGGGTCGTGCAGAGTAGTATATTATTAGCTTCCTAATCTTCAAGTCATATCTTCCTTGCAGGTTGACATCTTTCTTCAATGTGAACTGTGGACTGGGTTTATAAGGGCTACTAGTTTTTTCCTCTATTTTTAGCAAAAAGTCTGTCTCTGCATTGTTGTGGGTTTGAATTCTTTGCTGGTTGGTATGGTTGCTCCTAGTAGCGTTCTATGATTCTTAGAAATTGAGCTTCATAATATGGTCCCTCAAAAGCTACTTGACTCCATTGGCTAACAAGTGTCAGTCGATAAAAGACGAGCAAGATAGAGGATAAGTAGATCTTTATTTTATTTCTTTGCAAAGGTGAAAAATGAAATAAATGAATGTATTGAAGCACGTACTTGGGCTCTACATTTAAAATCTTGCTAATCTCACAGCAAAACTGCAATTAGGCAAAGAATCAGTGCTGCCTGTTAAGCTTTTCAACAGATGATAGGAGTAGCCAGGCATAAGCAACTCTGTCTTTCATAACGCGGGTGCGGCATTGTCTTAAAATAGCACTGATGTTCACTTTGTCATGTTAACTGTGGGAACTTTGGAGGAAATACATTTAGGCACTTGAAGACTATAAGTTAAAAGATAAGGCCAACTGATACTGTGAACAGTGTGCCTGAGAGGTAAATTGCATGGAGAAACTAAACATGACAGGCTTAGATAAAACACTTATTATGATTAATACCAGAAGTAGTAACAAGCTCATTTCTTTCTGCAGCCCCAGGAAACCTCACTTTTACCTGATAATGCTTATGGCTCCAGCTCACTCACCCAAACCCCACAGTTTCTTAATGGCAGGCTACTAATCTGTGAAACATCAGGACTTCGGGAATTCTTGCTTCTCTGATTTTCACCTTTCTTTGGAAGATTTACAAATCATTACTGTGCAATTCCCATAAAAAGAGCTTAAGGTGGTAGGCCAGAGGTCTAATATTCACCGAAACTAGCTGAGACTTAATGTAATTTATTTTCTTAAATATAGGTAGATATCATCTGTTGTTGGTTCTTGGACCACGTATAGGCATAGAGACTTTACCTGAGTTATTGTTGAGGGAAATAAATGAGGCAGACTAACTATACCAATATTTGGGAACTTATTTTGGGCCAATATGAGAGGCAGCAAGAACTATAATTTCATTACACTGTTAACATCCACAGAAAACAAACTTATCTGCTTTTATGTATATTACTCATAATGACATATACATCTTAGAACTGTAGAATTTTGAAGTTGGAGGAAAATGTAAAGGTCTTACAACCTGATCCATTACTAATCTATTATATCCCTGACACTTTCACCCACGAGAAGCTCATTATCACTTGAGAAAGCACTTCGATTTTCTAAACAGCTTTATTCTTATCCAGTTCTAACTAGTATTGATCTGATCTGTCTCTATATAAGTTTGGCCTGCTTGTTCTAGTTTGGTACCTTGCAATTGCCCAAAATATGTAAAATCTTTATTGACAAGGCAATTCTTCAAAGCATGTAATTTTTCTAAGATATGAATTCTAGCAGAAAAATTCCAGTTTCTCCAGTCATTTGACAAATAAAATGATCTTTAAACAACCCATTTCTTTAAGAATGCCACCAATATTTTACTATTTCACTTAAAATATTAATATTTCACTTAATATTTTACTTAAAGTATTTACTTGGAATTCTACATTTCTACGTTAAGTGAATATTTTACTTTGAATGTTGTAGTGACCAGCCCATAATGTAGTTTTACTCTGGCATTGGAAACTGCACTTTAGCTGATGAACTCTAAATTAATTGTACATTACTTTTTTGAGTAGTCATTTCTTGATTGACTCACAGACAATCAAGTGGAGGGAAATCAAATAAGCTTTAAGTTTGTTTGTTTTTTTAAGTGTGTTAACGTCTACTGTTGTTAAATTAGGTCACTATTTGAATCGTTGATTTTTAAAAAAATCAATATCTAGGACCTTAAAACTCATCTCATTAGTATGGTCCAAATGTTCCAACTATTGGGATCTTATTTAAAGTCTTCCTTCCAAGCTCACATTGATGTATAAATTAACAATCTTTGCCTCTAATTGTGCGTCCGTGTAGTCTAATGAGTACGTATACTTATTGGCACATAGCATTCAGTAACTATTGTGTGCAAGCTGCCTAAGAGTAAGGAAACCGTATTGGTCTGTTTTTATTACCCTATATTTAGCTCTTAGAAAATGCTGGTGTATTGGCATGCAGTAAGCACTCAATAAATACTGCTGAATTAATGAATAAACAAATGCATGAAAACTGTAATGTCATTAATGTCTGAATGTGGTGGTAGCAAATCATAAATAGTGTTACAGGTAGAAGGAGCTAAGGCCTAGAAAGCAGATGTGCTCATAGATATAATCGCTCCCATTTCCAATGACATTAAATTCACTTGAAAGATGGCAGCCTAGAGAGATGGCTTACATCAGAAAAGTCAAGAAGAAGGTTATTGGTGTTTTTATCTATTCATTCCCTTCACCCAATCATGACATGGAAGAAGCCAAAAGTCTTAACTTTCTTTATAATTTTTCCTGACTGAGGAGTAGTAGAAAAATTCCTACCTAGCCAGCAGTGGCTGGAAGTTTCAGAAAGAGCTGATAGACATGAAGGACCTTTGAGAACTGAAATAATGTAGAGTGGATAGCAACATTTGGATTTACTTCCTAGGGCCAGATGGGATGAAAAATGTGTCAGTGGATGTCCCCACGAATAGATAATGTGTATTGTACCAGTTGCAAAACTTCTCTTCTTTCCAACAATTTCGCGTCATTTGAGTTCCTAATATTTAGGTATAACTCTCAGGAAAGGGGCCACATATATAAATTGAGTTGATGAAAAAGTAAATTTATATTTTTTGCATACTGAATTTATGGATTAAGTTTAATATCCACTAAATAATTCAAGGGAGACAATTTTGAACATACCAAGATACTGTGAGTATCACAGTGAGCCAACCCTCAGAAATGGATTATGATAGAGAAAAAAGCCAAAGTATTTTAACTAGGGCTCAAGATTTATTATGTAGTAATATTCCAAACAATAAGACTCACTGTATGGTAAACTTATTGCAGAATCACCTGCATCACTGACATAGGATTGTATTAACAAGGGTTCTTGGTTTCACAAATAGAATATGTTCTGGACAGTTTAAACAGAAAAGGAATATATTAGAAGGATGATAGATATTTCACAGAGTTATTGGAGAATTTGGCGGAGCTTGAGGTTAAACTCAAACTCTGCCCAGAACTATGTCCAGAATTATGTCTGCTACTACTGCTGCCACTGAGAATTGAATGTCAGCAACTCAACTTTACTGCAATAAGCACAACTGCCAGCCCCAAAGTCCAGTTTTGCATTAGGAAAGTGACCATGCAGTCAATCCCTGCTCCACTCCAACACGGAAGCATCTGCTACAAAATGCACCAGTAAAGTTCAAGCTTATCACAGAGCCTCTTTGCTGGAGGTGCTCATTTCTAAATCAGAGTCTTGAGTAGTTGGGTGTGATAGGTGAGTTCACATGTCTGTATCTTAGTCATAGAGAAGGCTCTATTTTATATGTATATAAGTAAATTCTGCATTCTGACTTCTACACTAAAAAAGGACACTCAAAACCTAGACATTTTCTTTGCTATAGAAAAACTAATATATAATGAACAGTCATAAACTCATGCATCGGAGACATAGAATTGAACAAAAAGTCAAATATTCTGGCTATTGTACAGTTTATATTCTGGGGAGCTGGATGAGGGGGCTGGGAGAAAGGAGAGTAATATCTATGTAGAAATTTTAGTATGTCAGATGGTTATAACTTTATATCAAATAATGGAGTAAGGAAGGGAGATAGAGAAATGCAGAGGCAGAAAAAATTGCATAAATAGCCATGGTTATCATTAGGAAGACCTTAGTGAAGAGAGGATATCTGAGACCTGAGAGTTAAGAAAGAACCAACTATCCCTACAGGAAAGACACCAATGTCAATGGAATAAATCCCATTTATTAAATACCTCTTTTTTTTCCCAAAATAGATATAAAATGTTGCAGTTATCACATAGTACATATGGTCTCCTTATTTAAATACAAAAAAATCTTTAAAATAAATTTCAGAATTCTGTAAAAAATGACATATAGACAAAAACAGATAAAATAGTCCAATAACAATAAGAAACAAAATAGTCCAATAATGAGAAATATGTATGATTTCATAACATGAAACTATTTTACATCAAAAAATGAAATTCAAAGGCTACTTATAATACAAATTCTAGTTTCTAAATATATAATTTTCATGGTTTCTTAAGTGGGATGTTTTGTTCATATATAACTTTCATGCCTTTCTCTTTTTCTAATGATTATTTTAAGGGTATATAGTTTTTGTACCCCTCCCCTACTTTAAAGATATTCACAACAATAGTTTCACAGTGATTTCTATAAATTCTGGTTTCTGGAAATGTGATTTGTCTAGGCTTGAAGACCTAAACTAATTAAGAGTAACTAGGTTATTTGCTGTCAATTCCTTATCTACCCTGAGTTTCAAAACCCTTTTTAACAATATTAGCTCTACCATTTTCATATGTTGATCATTATAATTGTTGAGGAAAATAAACACTAAATTGTACGTGTGTGTGTGTGTGTGTGTATGTGTGTGTGTGTCTACACATACTCTACCTTCCCCAAAGACTGACCCTATCCCTTACTCTCTCTCTCTATATATATTTATATATAACATATATTTATATATTTATATTTATATATAATATATACATAATATATGATATATATATGATATATCACATACATAATATATGATATATATATTTATATATGATATATCATATATAACTATATATAAATAAATATCAATATATATTGATATATGATATATATGATATATATAATATATAAATACATATTCATACTTTATATGTAAATATATATATCTATATATATAAAACCAATCAATCAAAATAAGCTAACAATAACAAAAAAAAACCCAACATAGCCTACTCCCCATTTCACAAGTATATGTTTTTTCTTTTTTTCAAAAGACTCAGTTCTTTTTGGGTTTTGGCTATGCTACTCTTTGGTATTCAAGTGTGTTGAGTTATGAGAGTTCCCTTCCAATTTCTGTTCACAATCATCCCTGTGCATGTAGATCAATTTCATTAGCTTTTGCTGGTTCAGTTTCAGTTTACTTTTATGGTCATATCTTTTTAGACTTTCATCTTTCTTGATCATTTACTGTTTAAGAATTTCTAGTGTCATCTACCTGTTAGTCAACTTAAGAATATGCTATTTCAGAGGACAGGCACTTTTTTTCTTTTTTTTTTCCTATAGCCAACATTTCTTTTTTTCTCTTCTTTTCTTTTTAGTTAGATGAGTTCTGAGATGAGAGTCCCTCTTTGCCAACATTTTTGCCAATTTCATTTTATCCTCTTGTTTTTTGTTATACCCACTTCTTCATCCACCAAATATCTACGGAGTGGCTGCTGTGTGTATAGTATGAACTAGGATCTATCAGAACACAAAAATGAATCAAAAGTGGATTCTACCCAATAAACTACAGTCTACAAGGAAGATTAAATATGTACCCAAATAATTGTATAACAAGATAGTTCTTTTAATCATCAGTGTATATAAAGCATTGCTAAAGCTGTACTAGGTGTTCAGATTATTGTTGACTTTGACAAAGATCATGTTTGAGGTGGTCTGTGAAGTGCATAGACACAGATGAAAGAAATTGCGTTCCAATCAAAGCAGCAGAATAAGATCATAATAGGAGCATGAAAATGTGTCCTATATTCAGAGGAAAAAAACTGTTCATTTTGCCTAGATTGTAGAGTTTATTTAAAAAGTAACAATTTTGCAAAGATATGTTGGGATCAGATGAAGGGTATGTCCTAATATTTAGGCTAAGAGTGTTGGGTTTTGTGTTGATGATGATGTTTGGAGAAATAGTAAAGTGTTATGAACAGAACTTCAAACTGCCAGCAGAAGTGTTCCTATTTCTCCACATCCTCACCAGCACCTGTTGGTGGGACTGTAAACTAGTTCAACCATTGTGGAAGTTGGTCTGGCGATTCCTCAGGGATCTAGAACTAGAAATACCATTTGACCCAGCCATCCCATTACTGGGTATATACCCAAAGGATTATAAATCATGCTGCTATAAAGACACATGCACACGTATGTTTATTGCGGCACTATTCACAATAGCAAAGACTTGGAACCAACCCAAATGTCCAACAATGATAGACTGGATTAAGAAAATGTGGCACATATACACCATGGAATACTACGCAGCCATAAAAAATGATGAGTTCATGTCCTTTGTAGGGACATGGATAAAGCTGGAAACCATCATTCTCAGCAAACTATCGCAAGGACAAAAAACCAAACACTGCATGTTCTCACTCATAGGTGGGAATTGAACAATGAGAACACATGGACACAGGAAGGGGAACATCACACACTGGGGCCTATTGTGGGGCAGGGGCAAGGGGGGAGGGATAGCATTAGGAGATACACCTAATGCTAAATGACCAGTTAGTGGGTACAGCACACCAACATGGCACATGTATACATATGTAACAAACCTGCACATTGTGCACATGTACCCTAAAACTTAAAGTATAATAAAAAATAATAATTCAATGACCTTAAAAAAAAAAAAACTGCCAGCAGAAGCCAAGACAGGCTAGAAAACCGAGGTGGGCGGATCACGAGGTCAGCAGTTCCAGACCAGCCTGACCAACGTGGTGAAACCCTGTCTCTACTAAAAATACAAAAATTAGCTGGGCCTGGTAGAGTATGCTTGTAATCCCAGCTACTCAGGAGGCTGAGGCGGGAGAATCACTTGAACCCGGGAGGCGGAGTTTGCAGTGAGCCGAGATTGAGCCACTGCACTCCAGCCTAGGTGACAGAGTGAGACTCCGTCTCAAAACAAAAATAAATAAATAAATAAATAAATAAATAAATAAATAAATAAAATGATTTGAGAGACTAGAAAAGAGCTTAAATGCTTTTGGGGAGATAGAAGCCACGAGACTCATGGTTTAGGTTAGGTTGCCTAGGTTAGATAGCAATGAGACTGAGAGTAGGAGATGAGTCCACGGGATTCAAGAGAGAGGAGAGGAGAATTTTCAAAGAAAATTTGTATGCAGCAGGTATACAAGAATATGGGTATAGTGTTGTTACAGTATTGAAATACTGGTTGATAAGTCCCGCTTCCTAGAGACACTCAACTGTCCCCCCAGTTCACTGGACGCTTGGAGCTCTCTCCAGGTTTAGGATTCTCACAACCCAACAGCTAAACAACTCACTGCTGGAGCATACAGGGCCTCTGGAAACTGACTGGCTGGTGCCTGTTCAGTACTGCTTATTAAATAGTTTGAACATCATCCTTGACATGTATGGATTTAGTAAAATTAAGTTCAAAATACCATTTCTCCACTCCTGCCTCCTTAGCCTGTTGGGATATGAAATTATCAGCAAGTCAAAGCAAGATAAGGCAAGGCAAGGATTTATCAGGCGCTCTCCGTTTTTAGCAGAATAAGACTTCCAGGTGATATCCAGAAGGTTGACATTTTCAGTCATAAATATATCATGCTTATGTGTCAGCTTTATAATTTAATTGGGGAAAACATCAATTTCATTTTCTGTCTGGGAATTTTTGTTGATAACTGTAGCAGTTTAGTCATCATAATATTGAGTGAATTTTTATATTCCCAATAATGTCTTTTTGTCTTTGGATAGAAGCTTCTAGAAAAAAATTACACATTTACATTATTATACATAAATGTATATGTATAGTTTACACAAAAGTGTATATGTACATATATAAAAGTATACATTTATATTATAATAATTACATAGATTAAAATCCAATTAGCTACATTATGTGTTGCTAGTTTAGATATTATAATTTTTAGGAGATAGTCTAAACTAGATGGACTAAAAACTAAACACTGAAACTTTTTTTCCTGCTTTTTGAATCATCTTAGACATACTTTTTATTCTCTTCAAGTCCCAGTTTTTCCTGTGAAATGTGAGTGGTTATTACCTGTTAGACCAATGCAAAAAGTAGTACTTGAATATGAGAGAAAATTAGATAGCTGTAATGGTTCATTAGGACCTTAGTTCTGATGTTTCAATTCATTGGGAAGTCTTTGTGTTTGGAAATACTGTTTATTAAATTAGGAAGTGCATGACTGAGGCTGGAATCCCTGATTCTAGTTCACTCTTCCATGGAGCTTAAATGCAACACATTTGAAGCAGCAAATCCAAGATGACACCTACTTTTGAAGTGATGAATACAGGAACAATTCATAGTTGTTGAATGAATTTATCATTTGTGTTTTATGAAAATTGTGTTTCAAAAGACTTTCATGTGATTTTATTTATGAGAGGCAAGTGAAATTATTTTCATTTTAAAGTGATCTATAGGTGTATCCTGTTTTAGTTTAATTGTATTGAAAAATACATACCAAGTTTTTGCCATGTTCAAGACACAGTTCTGGGGACCACAGTAAAGAGGAGGATGGATAAGACTTCCTATATGAGGGAAATATAGGAAAAATAAATACACAAATAACTCTGGTGTTAGATACATGTGAAAATATTTTGACACAACACACACACACACACACACACACACACAGGATTCAAGAAGAAAGGACTTCCATACATTTTGGGGGGATAATACAGATTACATTTACCATATTTTGAACAATCATTGTGTGCTAAACACTTAAAAGGGTATCTCTCATTTACTTTTCACAACATTTTTATGAGATAGGTACAAGCATGTCAGTATTTCATAAATGAGGAAACTGAATCTTGGAGTAATAAAGTAACTTGCTTAAGGTCACCTGTGTAGTAATGAGGTGAATCAAGTTTCCAACCTAGATAATATGATTTTGAAGTCTGAGATGTTTACTAATTTATTCCCTTATGAATCAATTTTAAGATAAAGTTTCAAGATCCATGACTCTACTTTCAAATAATCTAAGATCGAGCATACTAGAAAAAAATTATTTGGTTGCCTATTTATTTTTATATGAGAAATAAATAAGCATTAGGGATGTTAACAACTGATGGGTACAGCTAGAATAACAATCAGATTTCCTAGCACTTAAATTTATCATGCTAAATCTTGAGAAATCTGAAAGACAGAATGACTGAAAATAGATTATGAGACTGGGCTGGACAGTAGAGTTCAATTTTTTACGTATCTCAATAAAGGTGTTATTGATAAGAGCTACAGGTAAAAAATAGCAGAGAGAAAGTTGAGCCAGTTTGAATTTGTCTTATCTCTAAAAGCATTAAAAATTATATTATGGTTAGAAATAATATAGAACTGTGGCCGGGCACGGTGGATCACGCCTGTAATCCCAGCACTTTGGGAAGCCGAGGTGGGCGGATCACCTGAGGTCAGAAGTTCGAGACCAGTTTGACCAACATGGAGAAACTCCATCTCTACTAAAAACACAAAATTAGCCAGGCGTGGTGGCACATGCCTATAATCCCAGCTACTCAGGAGGCTGAGGCAGGAGAATCGCTTGAACCTGGGAGGCGGAGATTGCGGTGAGCGGAGATCGTGCCATTGCACTCCAGCCTAATTCTTAGGCTAATTTTTAATACATAATTCTAATGGGCAACAAGAGCAAAACTCCATCTCAAAAATAATAATAATAATACTATAGAACCAACTTATATCAAAGAAATATAAATATGGCAATTCATCAAATCTTTTGTGTATGAGTATATTTTTCAATAAAAGTAATTAGAAAAATATTAGAGAAATGAGAAAAATATGCACTAATATTAAAAATACTAGACTATGTCAGAGAGAAGAAAAATAGTTTAATTTCCAGTGTTAAACTGTTAATTCATGCAATGAAAATTAGTTGAATATTGCCCGTGTGCTAGGAACTATCTTAGACACTTGAAGTACAATAGTAAATGTAAAGAAAAAATGCCTGCCCTCCTGAAATTCATGTGAATAAATAAATATGAATAAAAATAAATAATAGTCATGCCCGATGGTGATAAATGCTATGGAGAAAATTAAAGCAAGGGTCAGGGGAATGGAGTGACTTCTTCAAATATACAAAGGAGCGGGGAAGAACTTGAAATTCTAAACTTACTGGTGATCATGCTATTTTTTTACTTCTGTGTCTTCACACATTCCATGATAAGATATGTAACCGAGAAACCATGAGGATCAGAGGACACGAAGAGCCATTTGCCTTTGTGGCATAGGATTATGTGAGTCCACAGTTATTATGTCAGTAACACTGTCAGATTTGGGTGGGCCTAGATCAACTGAACTGCAGTGCATTAAAACAATCCATTTTCTTGTAGTGGAGGAATCTATAAATTTTATTAGTCCATTAGTTCTTAGGTGAAGGAGTTAAATGTCATTATCCTGAGGAAGCACTTCATTTTAAGTGACAGCAGTGAGATTAATATGTAGAGTCCTCAGTCAAAAATAAATTTGAGCAAAAAGTAAGCAGAGGCATAGGATAATTATTAGTAAAAGAAGTAACTGAGTTAATGTTTGTATCTACTTAGGACTAACTTAGTATTTCTGGTGGCAGCAGATTTTTCTGACCATTGTCAATTTGAAGAGACTGATTTAATATTTTCCTTTGTAAATTATTACTGCCAGAATCCTTGAAATCTGTAGAATGTGGATATAGCATCATATATGTGCATAGATGTGTAATTCTTTATCCAATGGAGATACTGCAAGTAGAAAAGAGCAATAGAGGCCAGGTGCAGTGGCTCACTCCTGCAATCCCAGCACTTTGGAAGGTCACAGCGGGCGCATCGCTTGAGATGGGGAATTTGAGACCAGCCTGGGTAACATGGCAAAGCCCCATCTCTACAAAATAAAAAAATTCGCAGGGCTTGGTGGCATGCACCTATTGTATTTGGGAGGCTGAGGTGGGAGGATGGCTTGAGCCTGGGGAGTCAAGGCTTTAGTGAGCTGCAATCACACCACTGCACTCCAGCCTGGGCATCACAGGGGACATGATTAGTGACAGTCTTGGTGACAAGAAGCCTCAGAAAGGTCTGGGTTCCCTCTGGATGGGTTGTCCTAGCCTAAGAGCTCCAGATGATTGGTGGCTAACCTACAGGTAGGTATAAGAGTAACTGCAAAAAAGGAAATGATTTCAGATTGACGTTTTAAATATAATTTTTTCATAAAATACAATATATACAAGTACTTGTATTTTGTTTAATACCTAATGCATTGGGATAAAATTTCAGAAAGCACAAAATATCAGATTATAATAAATATGCTTTTAGAAAAATAATGTTCAGGAAGATGCTTGGGAAGTTGGAATTTTTTTGCTATTTAACTGCAAAAAGTGATCTACTTTATGTTGCCTTTCATTGCTGTACTGTTTAAGAAATTTTTTTTTATTAAAAATGAACCAAAATTTAGCATAAAAAGTGTCCCTGGCCAGCCACGGTGGCTCACCCCTGTAATCCCAGCACTTTGGGAAGCCGAGGCAGGAGGATCCCTTGAGCCAGGGCGTTTGAAACCAGCCTGGCAAACATGGCAAAACCTAATCTCTACAAAAAATACAAAAATTAGCTGAGTGTGAGTGTGGTGGTGTGCACCTATAATCCCAGCTACTGGGAGGATCGCTTGATCCTGGGAGACAGAGGTTGCGGTGAGCCGAGATCTCACCATTGCACTCCAGCCTGGGTGACAGAGAGAGAGAGAGAGACCCTGTCTCAAAAAAAAAAAAAAAAAAAAAAAAAAAAAAAAAAAAGCAACTCCAAAGAAAACTATCCCTAAAGCTCCTTAATTGATATGAAATTTTTGTCAACTATTTCCATCTTCTGGGCAATAGCTTAAGGGTATACATTTTACTCAGAAACAACTATATCAAAATCAGTTGTTTGGTTGAGCCAATTTGTACTTACAACTGTGTGATAGGTAAACCCAAGCTACAAATTCCTCCTCTCTCAGCTAGTCCAGTGGACCAGTGGTCTCCAAAGTGGATGAGCATCCCTAGGTGTCATAAGCACACGACTCATAAGGGTGGAAGAGGATAAGATTATAAGTTCTATTTATCTCAATTTTTACCTAAAATGGGAAAGAATTAAAGTTAATAGTGTTTCATATATGTTCTGACACTTTGACTGCCTATGTTTGATTTTCACATACACGGTGTGTTTTCAAGAAAGGGTGGGAGTGTGTGACAGTAGCACATTCATTCATATGTTGATTTGCTCTCAGCTTATTGTGAGGCATTGTAGTTTATGGGTTACAAGGTGTTATTGATTTTGTTATGATAAAACCAAGATTTTTAAATAGTGGTATCTTTAGTACTATGTGTAATGGCCATAAAAATCTTTTGTGAGATTTATGGGTTATCTTGTGAATAACCATATCTTGTGAATTGTCAAAGATGAGTTACACACATTCTTTCTTAAAACAAAAATAAAAGTGATCTAATTTTCCTGACTGTTTCTGTGATATCAAGTGGGTGATAATACTATGCTGCATAATAGGTGTTATTAAAACGTTATATAAGTTAAAGTTAATGATTGAAACAGTGCTTGAGAGATTAAGTGCTGTTCAAAATAAACTTATAATTTTGGAGAAAGTATTTTGAAAATTTGACTTGGAAAATTTCCAATCGTGATTTTTATTGTTAAAATATGTTTATCATCCATAAAAACCTTCAGAGTTGAACACTTTTTAATTTTTTTCATTTTGGAAGTAGGAATTTTTAACTTCTTTAAAAGTCTCTCAAATAACAAATTTAAGCAGGTTTTGAGTCATGTGTTTAAAAATATAAATGGGCAAAATCTTCCACATAGTTTTTAAGAATAACTGATTGACTTAAGAAAGAGAAATTTCCTAGCAAAATAATTTTTCTAAATTATATATAATCATCTATAATATTGTCCATATTATAATGTTATGGATTAATATGTAATATATGTATTTTATTATACTGTAGATTATATAAAGGGGTTACAAAAATAAACATCATGATTTAGTAAATGTAGTCTATGTACTTTGGTACATGCCTTTCCTTTTGTATCAACTTATCTCTATGAGATAATCCTTCTAGCTGTGATTGCCTCTAAAATAAAATAGCTATTAAACTTAATTATAAAAAACATATTCAATGATGCTTCTATTTAAAAATACTATCATTAATCAAGATTTTTGTGAGAGCAATAGCTTAGTACTGTGAGTTAACATAAAATGCTGTTTATTTCACCTTTGCTCATTATTTTAATTTCTATTTTATTTATGTTGAAATATGCATATTCATACAGTTTAAATGAGTATAGCTAAAATTTTCAATATTTTTAAAGGTGAAATTCATATAACACAAAACTAACCATTTCAAAGTGAACAATTCAGTGGCGTTTAATACATCCACAATTTTGTGCAAACAGTACTTCTATCTGGCTCCAAACCACTTCCATCACTCCAAAGTAAAACCACCCATTAAGCAGTTTCTCCCCATTCCTCCTACCGTCCAGCCCCTGGCAACCACCGGGCTGTGTTCTGTCTCTCTGGATTTATTTATTCTGGATATTTCACATAAATGGAATCATATAACATGGGACTGTGCCTGGCTCCTTTCTGCATTATGTTTGTGGAAGTTCATCGATGTTGTAGTGTGTGCTGGTACTTTGTTCCTTTTTATGGCTGAACAATACTCCATTGCATATGTAAACCACAATTTATTTCTTAATGGACACTTGGGCCATTTCTACTTTTTGGCTATTGTGAATAGAGCTGCTATGAACACTCACATGCCAGTATTTGAGCATCTGTTTTAAATTCTTTTGGTCATTTATCTAGGAGTGGGATTATGGGCTTGTATGGTAACTCTATGTTGAGCTTTCTGAGGATGGCCACACTGTTTTTTCCAGTGACTGTACCATTTTACTTTCCTGTCAGTACTGTATAAGGGCTCTGATTTCAATGAGCATACTTTAATAAATATTCTTATAGGATTGTGCCTGCCCAATGTGCTTTACTGACTAGGAATAAAAAATCTGAAAAGTCTGGAGCCTACCCCGGGAGAGTACTTTGACCCCATGTAAGGTAAGGTAAGTGCATGATCAGGTGTGTTTTGGGGATGGGATAGGGCTGAACCACTGTACTAATGGGAATCTGGGTCTGACTTCCGTTTGCCTAAGCTTCTCTATCTGTAAATGAGAAATTTCTGCAATGAGATTGTAGGGTAGCCTTCAGTAGGCCACTGGTCATTCATTATCCCTCAGGATCTGCTTGCTTAAATTTTATACCTTAGAAAATGGAAACAAGTTACAATCTGACTTCTTATAAACTATAAGAAAATCATATGCACCATTTGCTTCCCTCCTTCTCAGCACACTGGTCTGTGTTGTGATTATCTTACTGCAGGTGCCTTTGTTGCTAATGCAATCTGTTTTTTAAAAAGGTGTCATGCAGTAACAACAATAAAAATGATATAGAGAAATTACCTTGTATAATGCACATAATGCATTATTTGCAAACATAATATCACTTAAATCACATTAGAATCCTAAGTATGTAGATATTATGATCTCTTCTTTACAAAGAAGGGATCTAAAGTTAATAGAAGTGAACAAACTTACCTAAAGAATAAAGTGAAAGAGCTTGGATGGGGACTCAGATTCATACAAACTTAGGATAATTGCTCTTTTCATTGAGCTTTGGCTGGAAAGAAAAATAGTTCTACTGTTTTCTCTGAATGTCTCACCCAATCATTTACCCAGCAACTCTGACCTTGGCTTGATTTATCTTTATTACTCATAGGACACTTGAATTGTAAAACAGCATTAGCCACATGACCAGGAAATTATCTTCCAAAGATCATTAATAACAACGACTAAATTGGTTTAGGTAGGTGAAGGAGATCTAATCCCTCTGTACTCCTTCTCCCATGAGGCAGGTAGGTGAGGATTTGTTTATTGATTTCATTTAAACCTATGCTTATGTAAGTTGGTACATTTACTTCTGGTCCAGGAAAACAGAATGATTTAAGCCGGTAAATCTCAGGAGCCTAAACCAAAATCCCAAGACTAATCATTCTATATTATATATATATAAAAAAAGCCACATTCCTAGCATAAAGCCATTCTACATTTCCCGTGCTACATTGAATCAAGATTTACAAAGATGAGGAAGTCCTATGGGGACTTTAGAAATACAAATTGAGGGAAAGAACAGTAAAACCCTGCTGCAAAATCATCTTGATAAAGAAAGGTGTCAAAGCGATGAGAATCCCACTACTAGCTCCAGCTTTGGAATTCTAAGCACCAAGTTTTCGTATTACGGCTATATAGAACAAATATATATTGTTACTTATAATAAATGTCACTATCCAAGCACTGTGCTTATTGTTTACAATATTCAAAACTAACAGAAATAAGGAGAAAATGCAAGAAGTCATGCAAGAAGTCAAGCAATGGGCTTTCAACCCATGGAACTCACTTATCTAGTAGTGGTTGTAGTAATCTACCTATTTTGCTATTGTCTCCAATTGAGTATGACAGTTCATGAAAACAAAGAGCATTCTTTCTAATCTTGTTATTTCTGATGCCCAGCGCTATACCTAGCAGATATGAATCACTCAATATAAGTATGAGGAAGTAATTGGTAAAAGAAGCAAAGATAAAATTGTCTCTTAAAGCAAAATGTTTTTGTTATATATGTTTTAATGATTTTGCCTTAGATTCTGGATTTTTAATACATAGGGAAAATTTCCAGAATGGTACAAATACATCTACATACTTTTAACTCTAAGAAGAAGGAGGTTCTAGAAAAATAGAAGACACACATAGATGACACTTCTCCTGTCTACCTCTCTTATGTTGGTTTCTCAGGTTCACTCTGAAGCTCTCCTCCCTGCTGTCCACCTAAGTTGCTGACAAGGAATGGACTGTGTTCATGGGTTCCCGGCAGGATGTGGTGGCTTACACTTGTAATCCAAACACTTTGGGAGGCTGACGGAGAATGGCTTGAGCGCAGGAGTTTGAGGTTGCAGTGAGCTAAGATTGCACCACTGCACTCCAGCCTGGGTAACAGAGCGAGAATATGTCTCAAAAAATAAAAAATAAAAACAAAACAAGAATGGGTTCCCTTGCCTCTGGCTGCTGGTTTAGTCACAGGCAAGAGGAGAGTGAGGTCACGCTGCTCATTCCCTTCACGTCCTCCCTGTCTTTTTCAGGTGGATTTCATCAGACCCAGCTCTGTCTCTGGGTTTCCAAAACTGCTCAGTCTATTCACCCCTTAGGCCTAGAGGTTTTATGAGCCATGGAGGATGCATGGCTATTGTGTCTATTGTGTGTATGCCTGCTTTATCAATTTCATTAAAAATATATCTTATTTTTGAAACATAATATAATTCACTAGTGGCCTTTAAAATTTATTATTTGCATCTCACAGGAAAAATAACATGGTTCCTTCGAATCTGAAACTCTTAAATTCACATTTCACCTTCATATTTTTACATGTCTTTACAAGGCAATTTTTAAATGTAAATTTTCTTTGGAATACAATAATCTGTCAATAGGACAAATTGCATTATTTCTTACATAACTCTGTAGTTCTGTTGTCCAAGTAAAGTGGATACATAATATGATTAGTATGAAGTCAAAGTTCATTTTAGTCAAAGATTCAAGGCAAGGAGTTCTCTAGTGAAATTGCCTGGGTTCCAAATCCTAACTCTATCACTTACTTGAAATTTTTAGAAATTTACTTAACTGCCTCAGTTTTCTCATCCATTGTATGTAAATTACAAAAGTGCATTTATTACTGAGTGTTGGGAAGGCCAAGTGTAAAGGACTCTGCCCACTGCCTGGCCAGGGGAAAACACCAGCACATGTTCCCTGCTATTACTATTACTGTGAGTGCAGCATCGCTGAATGCTATCAGGAAGTGTCAGTTATCTCTAATTTATTAAGAGCCCCAATTTTCAAAAAATTAATTATTTTAAAGGAAATCTTTCTGAAATACACCTTACTGTTCTGTTTTTGTTTTTAAGATAAAGACTATCTTGTCTTGGTGACCAGTCTCATCTTAATAGGCATTAATTATTATGGATTTATGATATTGTTAGTAGATATTAAGATATTCAAGAGAGAAATTGCTCTATAATCAAGACAGTGTTAAATACAAATTCTAAAAATATTTCCAGGTTGTCTATGAATTTTACAGACAATAAGTACCATGGGATTGCTATGGATTTGAATGATTAAAGGCTTCATAAATGGAATTTCAGCTGGACCTGAAAAAAATGGACTTGTTTTTACTCATCCTCCAAAGCAGTGAATCCATTGACCCTGTGGGCTCAGGCAGTTTCAGGTGAATGCTCCCCAACAGTCACCTGGGGACAAGCCTATCATTGTCGGAGAAATGGAGGATAGGAGAGCTTCCTAACAATATCAAGCACACATTATATGGCCCCAGAACTCATCTTTGGGACTTGGATAGAGTACTCTAGGTGCTATGTCCCTGTTATCAAACTTCCCCTCTGAAGAAAGCAAATCTTTTTCTCTTCTTCCATCTTGGAGGGCAGTGCTCTGATGAACCAGAGAAGGAAGCGGGGAACCCACAAAAGAAACTAATACATATTTATGTTTCAGGGATGTCAAGCCTTAAGATTAACTCACAGGATGATGTCTGAATTCTGTACTTTTTCAGAGTTTGCTGGAAGTGGATCATATGTTTAAGAGTGAACAGATGTTAAGACGACTCTGCTTTGTTAAAAACTTCTGTTTTGCAGTGAGCAGAAACAGGTTGGGCTAAAAGACTGAACATGAAATAAGCTTCACAAAGAATTTAATGACTGTTGAAGAAGAAGAGAGTACAAACAAATAGGAGAGAGGAGAGGCCAGTGAAAGATCACTGTGGAAAGGGGAAGCAAAGAGCTGGAAGAGCAAAGGCTTCTCTTTCAATTGTTTGCATGTGCAGCCAAACAGCTCTGTACCTTGATGATGGGGGTAGTGCTAGTGCGTAAGCATTAGAAGGCTCCTGTGGTGTTTTTGGAGAAACTCTAAAAATCGTTTTTCTAAATTCAGGTTGACTGTAAGAGGATTTAACTGTGTGTGTATCAAAAAGGCTTTCAGGGATATAAGGATTTTAGAGCACTTGAAATAATCCCTGCAGAGCAGGCAAGAAAATAATATCTTTAGTAGATCTTGATCCAGTAAAAGAGATTATTAAGGAATCACATATAATAGATGCAGTTCAATTTACTGCATTTATACTGAAATTATTTGCTTAGCAAAATTAAGCAATACTTCATGGAATCAGCCTTGTTTACATAAACTTTTTTCAAGTATTGATTTATCATTTGTCTCAGCATATTTGTTACCTTTTTTTTGGAATGTAATTCTATTTTTTAAATAATCTCTCTCTTCTCTCTCTCTCTCTCTCTTTTCCCTCCCTCCCTCCCTCCCTCCCCCCTCTGGCTGTGTCTAGAAGTGGGAAAAAAATGAGTTAATAGCTTGGTCTGAGAGTCTGACAGACTTAGATTCACATTTAACCTCGGGCTAATTGATTGTTCCATACGTATCTTTTGGCACACTACTAAGCTTCTTTGGGCCTCAGTTTCCTGATTAGTAAGCTGAGAATACTCACACATACCTCATAGTTTTATATGTGGTAATATATATAAGGTGCTTAGTATATAGATATTGTGGAATATCTAAAAGCTGGTACTTTTTCATTCTCCAAATGACATTTTTATGATAATGTTGACAGTTTATATTACATATTAATTGTACAAGCAATGTTACTTTTATTTTCTCATTTCTGACCTTGCAGTTTGGTAGAACTTATTATTGTTATTCCCTGTGTACAGATAATAAAGTTTAGCCTCAGAGATTTTCAGTCATTTGCAACTACTAACTAGAATAATTGAATCGAAATTAGATCATCTAATTGTAAGTAACTGAGAATATTTCTGTCTCAGTGGTGTATAGAATGCTCATTATGGGGAATGAGAATGGAAAGAATGACTTTTTTAAAAAAATTTACAGTGATATCTTCTTTTTTAGCTCATTCCCCTGATCCTGTAGTTCTATGGCTAAAACATCTTGTCCTCACCTCGAAAGGCTCACTGACAGCAGCAGGGAGAAATATTCATGCATGAAGAGTGTTGGCAAGCACACCAGGGAAATGAGCCAGCCTTTTCATTGCTGTCCTACCTTAAGGAATGAGACTTTACTGTTGCTCAGATAGTTTTTAAAACTCAGGGACATACCATATAAAATATAATTTAAAGGAGCTATCCAGTCCCCCTGAGATAAGCAAATGGCTATGGGGACTTTAGCCAGCTTAGAAAATAAGGCCAGGACATCTTCAGCCTCATTTATAACCTTGAAGGAAACTGTAGGATGGGGTATTTTATTTGGCTTCCTTTCTACTGGCAGGATGAAAAAACGAAACATTATCAGCTCAGAAGGATTTTTTTCAGGTCTTAAGGATTAACCACTGAAAGGAAAGACAATTTTATTAAAAGTTCTTCACTTTAACCATCTATAAAGGATTGATTTGAACTATGGATTCCAAAAGGTTTTAAATTAGGTGACAGAATCATTTTTCTTTAAAAAATCCACCAGTCAGGGCATGAAACTAAACTCCTTGGGAAAAATAATGCCATATTACTTTTGGTTGAGTATTTTCATACTGAGAACAAGAGTAAAAGTTATACCATCACTTAGAAGAAATAAATGCCATTTTTTTTACTTCAAGCACAAAATGTCACCTATTCTTTATTTTCCCTACATCTACCTTGAGTATTTTTATTTTTTAGAAAATATAAGATAAATGCTTGATTTTAAAAAATTTAGCAGTTTTCAAAATGAGTTAGTTCCCTAGCATTCTCTGAAAGCAACCAATGCATATGAATTTAAACAGGCAATCTATTGCAGTTACTATAATTATGGATACTCACATTGTCCCATTTTTGGCCAGTGGGATCCTCTTTTGTCACCTGAGTTCTTTGAACATGTCCTCAATTGTTTTTGATAGCTTTCTGATCTTCTACCACGCCCATCCTATACATTTCCCACTTCAGAGTTGGAATCAGCTCTTTCTTCAAGGTGTTCTGCTTCTTTCTAGCGTTCAACCATTTTAGAGATTACAGTCGGATGTGAGAGAAACCAACCATTTTCAACTGACCTGTCATTCTAGCTTATATCAAAATTACTTAGACTATTGCAATTGATTATACTTCAAGATCAAACCAAAGTAATTTAGACCAGTGGTTTTCAATTATTTTTGTTATGTGCACTTGTAAGTAAAATGTTTTCATGATATTCTTTCACTGTAGGTACTTTATTATTATATTAATGTACATGATTGAAAGTTAGTAAGAAATAGAAATGGGATTTTATAATTTTTTTGTCATACACCTATATTGTGTTGTAGGGTGTGAGAGGTGCGGGTGTACCCTCCAGGCCAGAGAACACTGATCTAGACTAAGAAGGTCAAACATTACATGTTTTAATTTATGAAGTATCTAATCCTTTCACCTGCTTAAGATTGGTGAACAATTTCCTCTTGCCCGTTTTGAAAATTAAGTCAAGATTTAGTGATGATTCATTATGTGTTTGATAAAATTGAGAAGTACTTGAGATTTAGAAGTAGCAAATTCTGAATGTGCTTTTTCAATGTTTTCTTTTGACTCATAGGTCCATTTAAACTCTTTAGCTGTTGATTTAACTGTTTGGCTCAAGTACTTGTGGGCAAGTAATAAGAAGCTATTATCTGTTAGTCTCCATTTAATTAGTGCTGATTAATATATAAATAAAATCCTCTCATTCCTTCAAACACTAGTGCTTATGTTAAACTGAAATCAGTAGTTTTTTTTTATAGTCCTAGGAGTTTAATAAAATGTTACTTGATCTAAATTAAATTTTGATTTTGGAGAATACTGATTTTTCACTTGTAATGATGGATAGAAGGCCTGTAGAAAATAGTTCTTGGGATTTTATTTTAAATTGGGATCCATTCCACTATAAAAATAATAATATTTAACTAATTTCATTACCTAGGTGTGTACTATACACTATTAGAGAATAAAAAACCTTTTTTCTTTACTAGATTTTGAAGCACACTAACGTATCTTAGTTCAAAACAGTATGCTCTTTATTTTGTTACTATAGTTTTAAAGTAATTAAGTTTATGTAGTTCAAGGGTGTATACTCTATCTCAAATATAAGACACAGTTATGGTGAAAAATTATCTTTACTGTATTTTGAAATATGAAGTATATTAGATTAATGTGCTAATAAGCATCACTCACATTTTGTCCTTGAGGTTTTGTTTTGTTTGCTCTGTAATCCATGGTTGGCAAACTGTGAAGAACAAGATAATAAATATTTTATGTTAGGCTTTGTGGACCATACAGTATCTATTTCAACTACTAAACTTTGCTGTTAAAGCATGAAAGTAGCCATAGACAATATATAAATGAATGACTTTTGTTGTGTTCAAATGAAGCTTTATCTGTGGAAACTGAAATTTGAATTTTATGTAATTTTCACTATCACTAAATATTTTTCTTCTTGTAATCTTTTTCTCCAACCATTTAGAAATATAAAAACCATTCCTAGCCTGCAGGCCATAGATAAACATTTGGTGGGCTAGATTTGACCTGGGGACCATAGTTTGCCCATGCGTTGGATAGTCTACAGAACACAGTCCACCGATTGAAGTTTATATTTGGTTATTACTTTAAGAGAACTCAGAGAAGTTGAAAATTTAAGTCGTTGAGAGTGTAGGAGATTGTCTCAATAGCGATCACTGATGGTCAATTTCAATTATCTAAAGATTTTAGGAAATAAGTATAAATTTGAATCCCTTCTAGCCTCAACTATAGTGTTAGTCTTTTCTCTATAATTTTCTTGTTTTATTTTTTATTTTTATTTATTTATTTTTGAAACAGGGTCTTGCTCTGTCACCAGGGCTAGAGTGGAGTGGTGGAACACAGCTCGCTGAAGCCTCGACTTGCCAGACTCAAGCAATGCTCCTGCCTCAGCCTCCAGAGTATAAATTTGAATCCCTTCTAGCCTCAACTATAGTGTTAGTCTTTTCTCTATAATTTTCTTGTTTTATTTTTTATTTTTATTTATTTATTTTTGAAACAGGGTCTTGCTCTGTCACCAGGGCTAGAGTGGAGTGGTGGAACACAGCTCGCTGAAGCCTCGACTTGCCAGACTCAAGCAATGCTCCTGCCTCAGCCTCCAGAGTAGCTGGGACCCCAGGCAGGTGCCACCACGCCTGGCTAATTTTTTGTATTTTTTGTAGAGATGGGGTTTTGCCATGTTGCCCAGGCTGGTCTGGAATTCCTGGGCTCAAGCAATCTGCCCACCTTGGCCTCCCAAAGTGTGGGGATTACAGGCGTTAGCCACCCCGTCCAGCCAATTTTCTTGTTTTAAAGAGGTTATTTTTCTCTACTCACATGCATGAAGTGAATTATAAGATTAGGATTATACATGGAAATCAGCTGAAATGGTCAGCAAGACTAATTTTATTTTATTTTATTTTTTACTCCTGCAGAAAAAAACTTACACAGATAATTCCTTGGAATTTAGAGTAATAACTAACAATATACTAACACTTTGATTTTTGCTGACTTTAATTTGCCCTTGACAGCAGCTTGTGAGGCAGATGTGATTATTATCTCATTTTAAAAAAAATTAGTGGTTAAGAAGTTCGAATCAGGGCTTGAACTACTTTGAATTCCAAAGCTTGGTCTCTGCCACTGTAAATGTATTTTATATATATATATATGCGGGGTTATATATAAAATATATATATTTTATATATATATGTGGGGTTGTGTGTTCATGTACATATGCACATATTAATACATATCCATGTACACATTACCAACATATGTAACAGATTTAAAATTACCTCTTATTACTCATTTGAAAATAAATTGGGAAACATTGCAGATAATTTATTATACAAACATGAAATAGGAAATTTAAGGTAACTCCTTTCTTTAGTAATTTTTAAGAACACTTTCTCCTAAATTTATATAATTGAGAATCTTAAGCCAGTATCTGAATCATCATCAATACTGAAACTAGGATCCTCAGAGTTTACCTTAAAAAAATAAAGCTTTTATTTATCTTTTCTCTCCTCCTACTTTAGAAGATATTTATCTAGAGAATAATCGAGGAAAGTTGAGATAGAGACAATCAGATCAGATGAAAGGGACATCAGGAAAGGTGAGTTAAAAATATCTGATTATTTCCCTTAGGAATTCAATGGAAACACACTAGAAAATTATTTGTTAGGGCCCAGATTCTAATTTTATATTGATTTAAGAGAATTCTGTTGAACTTTATGCTGCTATGTAATTTAATAGCACCCTTATGATGTATGCTTTATGGCAATATTTTTCAAACTGTGAGCCATGACACATAAGTGGGTCATGAAATCAATATGGCAACTGTGGTCAGCTTAAAAATGATAGAATAAAAAATGTGAGCGTGCATTGCACTAAATAAGGATAAGTATTGTTTCACAAGATGTTTGTTAAGCTGCGGATGTTTAGTTGTATTTCTGTGAATGTGCTTTCAAGCTTTAATGTAAAATGGATTTCTTACTGTGGGTGGTGGGCCGGACCCTTAGAAGCCCCTGCTTTATGGTGGGGGTAACCCCCTTTTCCATCCCTGAATGCAGTTTGTTCTTTCAGTTCAAACTTAGACTACAGCTCTATTTACAGAGTAGTAAGTGATCAAGAACTTGATTTAGAGGGCATTTGATTTAAAATGTTTGCCTTCTTTTGTCATTTACATTTAGCTATACTGAGCAAGAAAATCCCAGATTCAGACGTTTGGACAGAGCTGTTTTAATGATAGTTTATGCAAATATGGGCAGATGCTTAGAAGAGTCACAGGGAGAAAAAAATGGAAATAGAGACAAAAACATATACGGATACACACAGTTAGAAATTCACAAAAAACACACTTTAGGGCTTATATACTAATGAAGGATATATAGGATGACAGAAAAAGTTCTGTATTTACTAAAATAATAATCTGGATTAACTATACTTTTCCATAGGCAACATGTTTATTTCCATATGAAACTTTAAACCAGTTTTTCCAAGACTTTTAGCTTTCTGAGATCAATAAAAATAAAACTGGGAAGACAGGCAGCATAGCTTCAAAATTTTCATTTTGTCAAGATAAAAAATCAAATGGTTTCTTTTAATTAGCCTCTTTTATTTGTATAAAGCACATTTTTTATGTTAACTTAATTTTTATTTATTTTTTTATTTTAGGGGGTACATATGTAGGATGGTTACATGGATATATTGTGTGATGCTGAGGTTTGGGCTTCCACTGAACCTGTCACCCAAATAGTGAACACAGTACACAATAGATTCAACCTTTGCCCCCTAGGATCCCTCCCCCTTTATGGAATCCCCAGTGTCTATTGTTCCCACCTTATAAAGGGTATTTTAAAAGTGAAAAAGTACAAATTACAAAAAAAAAAAATACAGTTGATTTTATTTAAAATTCACTATGTTGTCCTTTTTTTCTTTTTTCTCATTTCACCAAACACTGAAAGAAACTCAAGTTTCATCTGGTAATCACTGCTTTAAATTTTGTTCCAACATTGTGGAAAGGGTGTGTCTGCCAGCCTGTCTATCTAGGTTTCTATTCAAAAGAGGAAACACAAGACCTTGGGAACATGTGGAAACGTTAAATTAAAACTATACATTAACTGGCTTCCAGCATCTGAGGGAAAGGGTGGTTCTCAAGTAGATTAGCATTTGCAGAGAGAAGCACGCGGTTAGTCAAACATGGTGATGGATAGCTGGTTGATTCTCTGTGTTCTTTGCTGCTCTATTCTTTTCTCCAAATTACTGCCTAGAATTTCCCAGTATCTCTCTGTTTATTGGACTATGCTTTCATTGAAATGTTAAACTCTAAAAATGACATAAATCACAGAAGGTAGCTAAAAAGGTTTAATTGATGACATTTTATGTCCTATTAACTCCTCTATAAATTTGTCTGTCATCACCTTGAGATAACTGACATAATTGGGATTATCATCTCAACACTTTGGAAATTCTTTTTTCTAAATCATTTTTATAATCATCTTGATTACCACTCTTACATATACAAGAGGGTATAGTTCTAGAATTAGGTAATTTAAATTATTATTTGCTTTGGTATATTAAATCATTCAAAACATTTTCTTTGGTCTGCCTTCTTTCTTTACCCAATTATCTGTGGAGCCAATACCTCACACAGGGTTTTAGATCTTTCTCTTTCTATCTGGAACTTAGAATATAAGATTCTATTTAAAAAATCAAAATGCAATTCACATTCAATTATTATTGTTAAAAACAGTACATAAAACATACAGCAACCACATGTCAGCAGTAGCACTATTATTTTTCAAGTCTTTTAAGTTTTTGGATTCTATGGAAAACTGATGAGGGGGGCTTACTTGACTAATATCCCGGTATTCAGCAAAATCACATGTGTATTTTCTATAAAGATTGCATACGGATTTCATAAAACTGTGTAACTGCCTAAGGAGGACAAGGCTGTCCTTGTCAATCTGTCTCAGATATGTTGATGGATGTGCACTGAGTTCTGCTAGCATGCTAAAAATGTCCTTGTTCCAGCACTCACTGACTCACTAGATCATCCATGAGTTGGTGAGCATCTCCTCCTAGATCCTTCAAAGAACTGTACAGATCATGCAGTCAATACAGGACTTGGGGATTAGATTGGGAAAGTTTGTGTTGCAGATATTTCAATGCGACTGTCATTCTAAGAAAATCCTGCCCTAGACTTTCAGCAATTGTTCAAAACCTGTCTCAGTCATTGGTAAATTGTCACTGTCACACTGTTCTTACAATGTTGGCTTCACTGTCAGTGGCAGATTAGGAAGAAAGCCCTGGGAAGCAAACCACAGATGCATTTGTCTTTAAGCTTTAAGAGTGAATTTTAACACATAGTGTATCTTAATTTAAATCCAAGTGGGATCAGTGGCGGATCAAATTTCTTTTGCTTTCACATTCATCTTACAAAGCTGTTTTTAGAAGGAAAATGATTAGATCTAGACCTCTTCACTGGCCATCTTATGGTATTTGAAGTTGAAAAGTCACTCAGTGATTATGAATGGAAGAGCATCTGATAACCTCAGCAACTGAAAGGAAAGAGTAGTTGATGAAAGCTTATGGCTACATGCTCTTTCTTCCTCCATCCCAATTGGATAGTTGATCAGTTTTCACTTATTTTTCTCATATACAATCACAGACACCATTTCTATTCTCTAAGGAATCAATATGGTCTCAATGGAGTACAGGAGTTTTGGGATATTTTAATGACTGGAAGTCTTAAATAATAAAACCATATTTAAAAATCATTATAAACACCTTGCAAAAATAATCTTTAAGATTGTTTTGAAAACATAAAGGTTAAGAATGTTAAGATGATGGGCTGGGTACAGTGGCTCATGCCTATGATCCCAGCACTTTGAGAGGCTGAGGTGGGAGGATCACTTGAGGCCAGGAGTTCCAGACCAGCCTGGCCAACATAGACTCCTCTCTCTAAAAATATTAAATAATAATATAAAGAAAAAGCTGTAATATATCTACCTTAGGCAGCCACATTAACTATCCTGGCTATGTTGGCCAGGGAGATTAATGTCTTTAACTGAAGAATTTTTATTATCTAAAAATATTAAAAATAAAAAGAATATAATTAATTTACTAACTAAGCATCAAGAATTTATTGAGTGCCTATATTTACCAGATTTAATCCTTGTGATACACACAGGTGAGTAAGAAGTAGTCCCTTCTTCAAGGCCAGTAACTTCAGTGATAGAGATTGATATTAGACATTACAAAAGCATTTGATATGAAGACGTAACCTGATCAAGGGAGTTCAACAATTAAGGAAGTTTATTTTACTTTTGAAATTTCCTGGGATTGCTTCCCTTTGTCAATAGCTACTCTCTATTCTTTTTTTCCAAAGTGTAGATCAAATTTTCTGCATTAAGTGTGATGAGGTACTAGTCTCAACACTACCAGAAAATCTCATCTTGTGCAAAATATAGTAGGGCAAAAAATGTACTACAGTGTAATGCAAAATACTGGCCTATGTGCCAGTCACTTAATCTTTCTATGCCAAGCTACCCATAAAATAGAGATAATACTTTCCTAAGTATCAGAATTATTGTGGACATATTATATGAAAACTAATGCTATGTAGTATACAAAAAGGGTTTAAGACTATTAAGCAAGATTGTAAGAAAAATCTTAGAAAACAGAGAAGTTGGTTTGTAAAATTTTAATACTGCAAGAAAGTCATTGTTTTTCCCTTTTACTTCGAAAACAGTGTTCATGCCTATGAATTAGAAAATTGTAACATTATTTTCGCTGTTTAAAAATCTCTCTGCTATGCATTTATCATTTAGTTCTATATGGAAAGATAGTCTAATTTTTATGCACAAGTACTGTAGACATGTAAGTGAAAGGAATTATTCTTCCAGTATATAAAATTTATCATTGCACAGCCATTCTGACATAGTGAAAGTAACACTGGACTAAGAATTTAAAACTTGGCTTAGAGTTCTTAATCCATGATTGTTTGTGTTACCCTGCCTGAGTTTTGGTTTACTCTTCTAGAGAGAATAGGGATAATAATTATTTTTCTATTTACCTTATTAACTAGTTGGGAAGAATAATTGAACAAAGCCTGAAATGCCATATAAGTTGTGTCTGGAATTGCAATAGCTGGGCATATGTTGAATTAAAATGTATGTGGTAAATGCAACTTTTCTAGAATGTGCAATTACTTCTAATAATAGAAGCTTCCCTGGCATTTTCTACACGTGAAATATTTGTGCAGGAATAAGAGCCATAATTTTCATTGCCTTTTCATGAGTCCTAGGAGGCAAGAGTCTCTCTGCAAAGCTCATAGATATGTCTGCCTGAGGACAGAACTGCTGCCAAAGAAGTTAGTATTTAGCCTTGTCCTTGGAGATGTTCAAGCTGCACAGCCCTCTATTCCTCAGAGGTCATTTATTTTAAATATATTAAATGTGAACATGATATATTCACATGTTCTGGACAGAAACAAATGGACCTTTTTTAGCATCAAGGAAAGTTGATGAATCTAGATCATAACAATCTAACAGTCTAGAAAGTTACAGAATCTAGATATTAGGGAAGATACTTGAACAATATTTTATGAGGATCAGGAAAAGAAGAAAGCAGAAATGATCATCTATAACTAAAGCTAAGCTCCTTGCTGTGAAATAATTGCATGATGTACTTTAAGGGAAGCATCTTAGTTTATATTATAACAATGCCATAAATGTGATTAGGTAGAAGAAAGAGGCTTTGAATGGCTGATCCCTATTAAATATAAACCAAAACAATTTCTGCTCACACAGAGGGTGGTAGCTCTTAATTATCCACCAGTTCCATAGCTCTCCACAATAGGACAATCAGCTACTCTCTAGTTCTATATCTTAGTAGCACTCTTTGAAATTATTGATTGTACTTATTATTATTTGAAATAATCCTGTGAAGTTATTTATTCATTCGTTGTTAGTCTTGTTCTCTCTATCCATCATACCTAGAAGAGTGGCAGGCACTTAAGAGGCAATCCTTTATTACTGTTGAATGACTGAGTGAAAAATGACCTCTGTAACAATATCAACCTCACCTATGGCAGACTTAAGTCTGTAAGCTGTGATATTTACTTGTGTGTACGGCTTCCCTGTTATGAAGTTTTTAAGGAAAGAAATGGTAATTTTATTCATCCTTATATTGCTACACAGCCTTAACCTAATGCCTTGTACTGGTAAAGCCATAAATACATGAATATAAATACATTTGTTTAAACATAATTCTGGCATTATTTTGGTATACAAACATATAAAAGAGTAATAAAATATTTTAGTAAATACAGTTTTTGGCCGGGCATGGTGGCTTACACCTGTAATCTGAGCACTCTGGGAGGCTGAGGCTGGCAGGTTATTGAGGTCAGGAGTTTGAGACCAGGCCAACCAACATGGTGAAAGCCTGTCTCTACTAAAAATACAAAAAATTAGCCAGGTGTGGTGGTGGGCACCTCTAGTCCCTGCCACTCAGGAGACTGAGGTACGAGAATCACTTGAACCTGGCAGGCAGAGGTTGCAGTGAACCGAGATTGCACCACTGCACTCCAGCCTGGGCAACAGAGTGGACTCTGTCTCAAAAAAAAAAAAATTAATAATTAAAAAACATAAATAAATACAGTTTTTCATTATTCCTTTTTAGAAAACTCTTCTCTAAGCAAAATTCAATTTTAAATGATTTGTATTAAAATTATGTAAGTTATTTTGAGTCTCATTTTTACAAATTTAGTTCTTTTTATGGATACTTTAATATAAACATTTGCCCTTAACATCATTTAAGTTTATGAGATACTTTAAACACAGTTTAGGAGTAGATAATCTGCTGTCAGGTGACAGATAATGAAAATGATAGTCTATGACTTAGCTGGGGTTTGTACATTTCATATTCTGATTTTCCATATTTCTGCTAAGATTTCTTTAACAGTCCAGTTTCAGTTTCACATGTTCCCACACTGTCATTTGGTACTTATTGGGCATGACAGACTTTGTTGAAATGAATAATCTCAAAGGACATCCAAATATTTCTTTTACTCTATGTAACTATCAGCTTAAATCTAAATTATTTTCTTTTTATAGGCATGTTATTCAACAAACAATTTAGTGGTCACATTTTTCCTATGATATATTTTCTAGTTTATAAGTATTTAAGCAGTGTATATGATTTTTAGTTTGATGGTGGTGTTTTACCACCATGATGCTATGACATAGGATAGTTAAGAGAAAAATCAACAATTCTAAATTATATCAAATGACTACATAATGGAAGAAATTATAAATTTTTAAGGCCTCCACCAGAAAAGTTGTGAAATATCAAAAGAGTTAGAATACTCACTTTAATGGATAACAGGGAAACTTTATGTAAATTGTGGGAAAAATACCTTTAGAATCATAAAAATTTTAAATGTGTAGGGTAAGTATGTGTGTATATTCTTCTATGGGGGACAAAGAAGAAGCAAACAAAGAATGTGGTTAAATTTTGTAATAAATATATATATATATGTATATATATATATATATACAGTTATTTGTCAACTTAAAATTTTATCTTTACTGATTTATAATTTTAAAAATTGCATTGTAAATCTAAGTGATTTTAAGCTTAGCTAACACTCTACCACTTGTGACCACTTCTTTTGAGAAGGGAAAGATGTTTCAAAATTAGAAGAATGTCATTAAATAGGTCTAAGTCCTTTAAGTGGCCAAACTTCAGAAAATTCTGTTCTAACCCTTCATATAAAGCTCAGCAGTTAAACAAAAGGTATTTTCTCTCTTACTCTCCTTTTGCTAATTCCTTATCCATTTAAGTTTTCTCTAGAAGATGGAAGATTTTACTGTTTTCTTTGGATAACTTAGAATTATCTGTATTATATATGGTAAAAGATAATAAATTACCTTGTTAAGTGAACTTTTTGATAAATTAACCCAATGTCAGTAAGTAAACACTGGGTCTTTTTTTTTTCTTTTGAAGGCATTGTGATATGGAAGACCCCAACAAGCCCAATATCATAATTAATTTCAAAGACCGTGAGAGAGTGGTAAAACTACCAGGCAACTGATTCAGCAGGGCTGCCACACTGATGTAGCTTCTTGGCTTTATTCCAACCCTTAACATTTTTTTCCCCCTAAACTAGAAAATAGTTCAGAAAACTTACATATATTGTATCCCTGCTTTTGCATTTACTCTGGAGAAGACTACCATTTTGTTCTACATAGCACTTATATTTCTATGTTATGTATGTTTCTATGTAATTTCTATGAAGTGAGTATTTCATTCATGATTAGTTTTTCCACTATTTCGTTTGCACTAATTTTTTTTCTGTCTTCTTCAACCTACTGTTCGTTTATTAAGTAATCTCGACTGTCTGTGTCATCTTTAGTCCTTCTTCAGTCCTACAACTTCTTTTCAATACTGCAGTCATGATGATCCTTAAAATTGAGAGGATCATATCGCTTCTAATTTAAAACTCCCTAGTGGCTTCCCTTGAGATTTCTACAAGATTCTATTTTTTCCCACTGATAAAACATTAAGCTTCCTTTATTGATTGCTACAGGATCAATTTTGAAAATAATTCATATATATTTTAAAAAATGCACTTTCTCCATTTGTTAGGTAATGGTTCTACATATATCTGTTAAATCAAGATTGTTAATTGTGTTGTTTTAACCTACATCCCTACTAATATTCTATGTATTTTCGGAAAGAAGTATGTGGAAATCCAAGGTGTTACCTATTTTTTATTTTCTTCTTGTTATTTTTGTCAGGTTTTGGCCTTGATGTTTGAGACTTTATTTTAAGAAATATTCATACTTATGATTGTTATGTCTTTTTAGACCATTGTTTCCTTTATGAATGAATAAGATCATGTTTTATCCTTATTCATATTTTTTGTCTTTTATTTCTATCAAAGCGTTGTTTTGGTAAATATTTGCCTGGTCTTATTCCCCATCATTTTATGTTAACATTTCTGTCTCATTGTGTTATAAACTTGTCTTTGGTAAATATAGTGATGTTGTAGGTAATCCAGTATCAGAATTTTGACTTTAATGTTTAATTGATTTTCATATATTCTAATTGTTAATGTGTTTGATTATAATTCTATTACCTTATGCTATGTTTTTCCTGGATTTTTATTTGTTATTGTTGTTTTATTGTTTTATCTCTCTTTCTCTGAATTGTTCTCCTCCACTTCATGCCTGTGATTTGGAAGTTTAAAAGGTCTCTCTCTATATATCTATATCTATATATCTATATATCATTATATATAATGCATATTATAAATATAAACTGTATAAAGTATTTTCTATATATACTGTATCTACATATATATTTAATTGAACAATGTATAAACTTCATCCTCAATCTTCCTCCTGATTTTGTCACTTTGTTTATTCATTTAAACATTTTATTGACACTTATTTTAAAGTCGTTTTTAGATTGCCCTTCTATTTTGGGTGTGAGACTTCTTGGTTTTTGAATGTATTGACTCTCTCGTGATATATTTCTGCCTCTTGCTGTTACAAATTTTAATTGTATATTCTTCGGTGAAAATTGCCAACTTGTGGGAGTCCTGTGCATGACCTAAGTTGTAGAGGCAGCAATTATCCCCCCAAGTTTATTTCTGTCTTATCCATACGGGTTTAATTGATTCTTGATCAGCTATTTTGTTTTTCTTCTTGATAAGGGGTTTATTGGGTTTCTTTACCTTATAGATAAGTGTGTGCTTGGGCTCTACGCTTTCTGTGCAGGGCAGTCATTTTTTTGAACTCATGGCCCATAGTATGTGGCCTACATCTGTGCTACATCTCCATGCCAGTGTACAGATTTATTTATTTTTTTCTAATTTACTTACTCTAGTTCCCATTTCACGGAAGAGACAGCTCATTCTGGTCCCTAGATTTGTGGATAGACATTGGCTTGTAAGTTCTAGCTTCTTACCTGGTGCAAGATCTCTAGTGTTGGCTCTTACCCTCAGTTATTCATGAAAATCCCAGCCTCTGCTTGTATATGTGGTCCTGAAACCCTGGGTGCTTAATCATGTTTTGGAATGGAAATGTCTGTGTATCTATCTATAGATCTATCTTGAAAATTGTTAGAATTTTATCCTTATATATACCAAAATACATTTTGGCCTTTTATGGCATTTCGTCAGCACAACTAAAAATCCTGATTTCCTTATTTGACTCAGATGAATACATTTTAGTTCCCATTATTTACATTTAAACTTTTTTTTCTATGTATATCTCATTAAATGTTTCTTAAAAACAAAATATTACAATTTTTGTTTTTGAACTTTGCTTAAGACGCCTGTACTTATTTGCAGAGGGTGTTAATAGCTACTAATGTGGCAGGTTTTAAAATTTACAGCTGCAAGAATCGTGAGTTCCAGGTGACCAGGAAGAGATAGAGACATGCATATATATACATACACACAGAAAGTATGAGGGTAAAAGAGTTCCCAAGTCATTTAGGTAAATATGTAAATCCTTATTGGTAGTAACAAGTTCATACAAGGTAGGAACTCATCTCAGCTGAGCTTCCCTTAACTAACACAACAATGACCGTGACTTATACGTGTCAGATCCCAGGTGCTCAGTGTTTGGCTCTTTATACTCACCAGTTGGAGTGCCTTCCACCAAAAATCCAGGTGGGTCTATTTAAGGGAATGCTTACAAACAGGATTGTCTCAATTCTTGAACCAGTGTGAGCAAGGCCACATACTCATTTCGGAAGGGGAAAAATCCGTGCACAGGTGTTTTGAATAATTTATCAGTCTTCTGCTCACTACTGTTCCAGAAAGGCGGTTTCTCCGCAGATCACCCTCTTCCTCTGAGTCATACAATTCCTTTCTGGATAGTTCTGATAATGTGTTTGGTCCAAATACATTACCGTAGTAGAATTCATTAGCAAACATTTATTGAGCACTATCTCCCAGGAAGAATGCAGATGCTAAGAAAGCAGTTGAATCAGACATCATTCCTATCTCAGGTGGAGTTCATGAACTGGTGAGTTTGCAGAATTGTGTGTTTCTTCCCTTTAGATGATGATAATGATGATGATTGTTAATGTTCTATAAATAGTTGCCATGACACTTGCTTTAATTTAAAAGAAAAAATCATACAAAGCTTGGTAGTTTGGTATTAGACCCATTATTCTGCAACAATCACATCATGCTTAAATCATGATGCTCAGTTTGGGACATTATACTTCAAAGAAGATATACACTCTCATTTATTCAGGAATGACCGTAATGTTGGGGAGATTTGAAAGCATGTTATGTGAAAAATGTATAAGGGGATTGGAAAAATAAAATTGCTCATAATTAAGTTGAGAAGACTTATATACACCAATCCCTACATCCCTTTTTCATGTAATATGATGTCATTCAGAATAAAAAGTCTGTAATTTCCTATTCCTATCAATGTGAAAGTCATATTAACTATTTTATCAGAGCCATGAGACGTCGACCTAGTATATTTGCTTATTGTCACAGGCTCCCAATGCCTAGTAGAAGGAATCAAGCCCTTCTACTGTTGATTATTCAATAAACACCAATGTCAATGGCTGGCTCAAGTTTTATTTACATAACAGGATGCTGAAGCTATCATTGTAGGCTAGAGAGGGCTCTTCACATTTGTTTCTGGTCAAATCCAAAATGTGAGTGGTCTTTAATTTATTTATTTACCAAGAAATAAATTATAGCTTTTCACATGGAGAATAAACTCTTTCCATCTGTCTCTTTTCAAAATTGTGTTGTGCCATGCATGGGGCTTTTGTGAGCCACAGATAGAGTCACATTTCTGTCTACTAACTGAAACAAGCTTGTATAGAGTTAACCATCAGAAAGTTAAATATTTGTTATGGGTTTTACAAATGGAAAATATGAACAGCAAATTAGTTTTTCTTTTTCTTGAAAATATGATCTATCTGTAAAATGGTAGGATAGCAATACAAAAATGATTTTGGTGAATGATAAATTCCTAACTCTCTACATCAATTTTGGGAAAGGGGGTAAAAATGTTGGAACTCTGGCTTTTTATCAAATTTAAATCATTACCAGACAAGATCATGCTAAAGCCCAAATACTGTGGTTTGGAACTATCTGAATCCATTCCAAATTACTCTTGGACAACATCAGACAGGTTTAAATTCATTGACTTATATAAGAAATTACTTTTTGCCTATACTGGTTCCATCTGTTCTAAGTTGCAATGAACATATCCCAATTGTGTCTGCAGTTCCAGTAAAGGTGTCTCACAGGTGCACATGGGGCCATTTGCTGGTGAAAGGTCACTGAAATTCCTTTCTAGCTCTAATTTTAGGTTTAACTCCTTTCTCAGAGAATTGAGGAGAGAATCAGAGTGGAAAGGAAAGAATGCTTTATTTCTCAAAGTCAAAAAAAATCTTATTCATATTCCTTGCTCCCTTTTTCCCATAAAGGATTTAGACTTGCAGAGACCATTTATATTCAAGTGCTGTAGTTCAACGATAAGTTCCAGACATCTCTAGCTACATCTTGTTTTATGTCCTTCTGGCTATGTCATTTCAATAAGGTAATGTTTATGCCAGTTCTAGTGAGGAAGATGGAGAGGGGGTTTTGCACACCAGCTGTTAAGATGGAAAGTCTGAGATTCTCCAGCATATTTTTTGGAAATTATTTCATTCAATAAAAAAATTTTCATTTTTCAATGAAAAATGTATTGAGTGAGTAGGGCACAAAATAATGTAATTGATGTTTTAAAAATTTTTAAAATGCTCATTATTCCTCAGAATCATCTCCTGGTAGGCAAATGTACTTTTACATCACTGAAAAAATCAGAATATCTTTTAAAATTTTTTATGAATTTATGTGAACGTACATTTTATTGCATGATTGTCTATTTTGCGCAAAAATTTTTATTTTCAATAAGCCTCCTTTTATTGATTCATAGTCCAAGCAAAATAGGACAAATCTTCCCCCAATTTTTAAATCTCGTTTGCTTTGTTGTCTTTCTCACAACAGCAGCTTCATTTCATTTTTTTTCCCTATTTTCTGTCATTTCTTTCTTCCTGTATTGACCTATGGCTTGACGGAACATAGAATGCAATTCCTGGCTTTTCTTCCAGGGAGATATGAGCATGTGGATGTTAAATGCACTGCATAATAGGCTGCAAGCAACATGTTCTATGGCACTTTCTAGGAAATTTTGCGAAGAGAGAAATGGACATACACTCTGTCCTCTTATTTTCTGTTCTCATTTTGCTGTCTGAAACACATGTGTGGATCCTCTTGGACCATAAGCATGAGGCCACACCCAAGAGTGTTGGAGTGGTGGCTGGAGGAACCCCAGAGGGCTGCACTGTTGTGCAATTCCAGTGGGCAACGATCTACATGACCTCTATGAATAGTGCCCCACTGGAGTTTGTAATGCAGTAGCCATAGGAGATGGCTTCCTAAGGACTTTGTGGGACAGAGCCACTGCACCATGGCCTCTCTCCCCGGAATTCATATATGTGAGAAACAAACTTCTTTCTTGCTCTGACCATTGTGAATTTGGATTCTACTATTAATTGTAGTTGAATCTAATACCATCTTATGGCTCATATAAAATATGTATACTGTATATGAAATACACGTAAATACACTATATATGAAATAAGTTTACATTTAAGTTAGGAAGTGAGTATGCATACATGAGATGACATGAAACAGTTACCAGGTTATTTGACAACAAGTATAAATATTAAACTAAATTATATATTAGTGGAGGCTATCAAATCTTTCTCCGCTTAGTAAATACACACAAGGCGAGAATTTCATGACAAATGACACAAAGCCAGAAACTCAAACATGTTGGTGATGAAAAGCAGATGAAGATGCTAAAATAAAAAATAGCATTGGACTAAACAAGCCACGAAGGGAGGTGACATGTGGGAAATCGTGCTACAAATGCCAGCGGTGGAAGTGACTATAATAAGAAAGTTCATAGGACTAGTATTTTGCACTGTGATGACATGAGGTGTTATTTCATTTATATTTCAAGAGTTATTATATATGTCTTCTCACTATATAAGTTAAAATCACTAGCTTGTAGATGATAGGGATTTTGTCTTTTATTGTTTTGTAATTTCCCAACATGGCCCTTTGTTATTTTTATAGTAAAAAGTAAATAAATAGCCCTAAAATGTCATCTTTTTAAGTGAAATTTCAAACCCATTTAGATCATGAAGAATTTAAATAATTTAGTTTGAGTCTTCAAAGAGATTTAACTTTCAGAGATTATATTATAGCCTCATAATTTCCTGTATTAATTCATGGCCACATTTTGAAGTTTTCACTGTTGGAAAGCTCTTCCATATGCTTTAGTTAAGTCATGTGATTTAAGCCAACTTTCCTTGTCTCTTATTATAGATGCAGCTTCATGCCCTGTCCAATCATCATTTTAGAAAGAAATTCAATTGCACAATAGTAAAAATAAATCTTTATATTATAAAGCTTTATACATTTTAATAGACTATAGTATGTGTATTTTATTTATTTTCACAACAATATTATAGAGTTATGTTTATTATAACTTAATGTTATCTCTCTTGGAAATTACTGAACAGAAAATTAAATCCAGCTCCTACAATTTCAAGTCCAGAAGGCTCTGTGTATGAATCTAGATTTTATGCCATGTGAAACCTATTTGTGCAATTTTAGGGACTGTCCTTATCAAAAGTAATCCAACATTAAAAATAAAAATGTAGGCTCAGAAGTGAGAATTAGAATAAGTAATCACAAAAAAGTAAAAATGTGAAAAAGCCAAAATATCTAAAAAATATTTAAAATCCATTTAAAAGTGTAGAATTTTAATTAACTGCTTACACATCCATAAGATATTTATTTTAATTTTTTCATAGGAAACATCCTGTGTACTATTTGATTATCTTCTCATATGACAGTGATTTTGTAATTTCTTCAAATAGAAAGGTAATTCAGTCTTTTTTATTGGCAGTCTTTTTTTGTTGACAGATCTGAAAACTGTTAGATTCATGATTCATTTTAGTAATGTCAAATACATTTTTAGTCTTATTCTCAAATTTGGCAAAACTGTTAACTTTCTTTCATGTTTGGGCTATAAGATTTCATGGCTTTTGAAGGCCATTTATGCAACAATTAATTTTAAATACTCCTTGCATTAACCAGTTTTTTCTCTACTATGTCCTTATTGTAAAGGCTAATTGTGAGATTTGTAGTTATTTTTTTCATGTCAGCATTTTGTGTCCAATCAGCAAAAAAGTCTTTACTAATATAAGATTTACTTTTCTTCATTTATTGGATTTTCAAATAATCTAAAAGTCTTTTCATTACTGCTTTTCAAAATGTATCTCTTAAGGAATTATTACTGATAGCATGGTCTAATTCTTTGTCATAATTTACTTTTCAATGTCAAGGTAAATTCCACTGCTTCCCTTGCTTTTTTATTATATTGTTTTGTATTCTACTAATTTTAATCAGAATTTTCTTAGTTTTTTCCATAAATAAATTTAATAATGACTAAAAGTTACCCTTCATTTGTTCCAAATTGGGAGTACTGAACTTCATGATGGTGTACTCAAGCACTGATACTACATGCATCGTTTGATCAATTAATATGTGAAGAATTTCAGTGCTGAATGTTTATTTCTTCATATTGGCTTGCTAGATCTGTAGCAGTTTGCATGCCTTTTATTCTGAAACCCTTAGACTTCATCAGGCCACAAGGAGTCAGATATACTTAGACATGATCCAATATGTTGGCATGGAGAAAGCAGGTGATTTTACTCACAAATTTTGAGGTGAAGCAGTACTGCTGGGCTTCTGTTCTACAAACAGGATTTCTGATCACATTCCAATGCAATTCCCATAAATAAATAAAATGTTTAGTGTGTGTATAGTTACTATGATGAACTACTGATTCTAATCCTTTAATGATGAGAGTGAATTTATGTTTTATCTAGGTATTGATGAGAAGCAAATCCCCCACTCATAACTTTACATGTCTGTTGATTAGAAAATTATCCAAAGGCTACATTCAAGCTTCATTCATTTTCCTTCCTTCCTTTCTTCCTTCCTTTCTTCCTTTCTTCCTTCCTTTCTTCCTTCCCTCCCTCCCTCCCTGCTTCCCCCCCCTCCTTCCTCCCCCCTCCCTCCCACTTCCCCCCTTCTTCCCCTTCCCTTCCCTTTCCTTCCCTTCCCTTCCCTTTCCTTCCCTTCCCTTCCCTTTTCCTGCTCCACTATGCACATACTCCCATTTCTAGGTCTTCAAGGACATATTCATATCATGGTATTATCTCTGGCTCTGCAAATGGTTGGTAGGAGGATTAGTAGGAACTATTCTTTTGACTGACAATACCTAAAGTATACACAGAAATCACTGCCAGTCCCTAAAATATATTCCAGTAAATCTAAACTAAACATTTCTCCAAATAATTTCCCCTTAGCTGGATCTCAAAAATGTATTTGGCCACTCTACTGTTAGTCAAAATTAGGGGATAAATATAGAGGGAAGTTGGAGTCAAAGGAGAGAGATTTCTTAACCAAATTAAGAAAGCATATCTTACTTTAGAGTATTCTGCAAAACTATATAAACTTCAGAGTCCAGGAAGGGGTTGGTGAAAGTGAGAAATGCTTAAGTTTGAATAGCTTTGCAGTAAACATGCCTCAGTATGCAGTGGTATCATTTTAAAGACATAGATTTTGTATTTAACATGGAAATACTTGACTGTTTACTGTTAGATAAAGGAGTAAAATCAGAATTTTTACTGAGGTTATATTTAACTACAAATTTCATCTGCAATTTGTCAGCTGGTTAGCCATTTTTATGGGTGTTCTTTATGTATTCAGTTCTGTTTTGTTTCATCATGGTTGGCATGACACACAGTTTGCTATGCATTTGGATGATCTTTGGTTGCTAATACTTTCCAATGGTTAATGACCATGCCATGGTGCTTAAAAGACCTCCCATAAAATTTTAGTAACTTATCCCTGCCCATCTTATTAAGTGTGCCAGAAGGGAATCTTGCAGTTATTTGTTTTTCTTCTTTTTGTCTCTTTGTTCTACTGAAGTTAGATTATTTTTCAGAGGGCAAACAAAAATGTCAGTGAGTGGCCTGCCTATAGTACACGTTTCTATTGGTGAGTCTTCTTTAGTGTTAAAAGTATCATATAACACATTAGGGTGCACTGAAGCTGAACATGTTATATGTTGCAAGTCAATACATGCCCCCACTATATTTATGTTTTCTTTTGTCTCAAACAATGCTGCATATTTTGTCAGCAAAATTCCAAAAGAACTAATCTTGCATTCTTGATATCGTGTCTTATTTGTTTATTGGAGATACCAGTTGTATTACTTTTCTTAGATAGCATAGTATATGAATAAACACATATTTTCTTGATTAAACTTTTTATCTCAATATTTATTGCAGTCTGTGTTTGACAAGAGTATCAGTAGGTTAAAAATTCTCCTCAAAAGGCTGGTATCATGACCCGAAATTTTGCACATTTTTTTAATGTTGGAAAAACACATGGTTTTCCTAAGGATAGTTTATAATACTTGGTGATGATATATGACAAGGACTGGGTGTTTATATTACCTCCGTCAGGATTCCCTTAGGTCTATTAATGTGCTCACCAAACACTATAGAGTTCCCTGATGAATGTACACAGCCTTTTAACTGAGTGACCCAAGGATATGTTGTATTTTAATCTCCACCTTCTACATTCACTTTTCCCAAATATTTTATTTGGCATTTATCACATTCAGTGCCCTCCTATTCTTTTCATCCTTCTTGTTTTATTGATGAATAATGAGAATGTTAGCACTGCTTATCTTGACTTGGGCAAATGAAGAGTGACTTGCCTAAGAGCCTCTAGCCTGAATCAACTGGATGATTTCTGTGTGTTTGCTTCCAGTTTTAAGCTATGATTGCTTACACCTAACAGTAGCTATAAAATACACATTTGTGGGGAAGGCTCTAATCTCACAGTCAACGAAAGTAATCTTATTTTGTGATATGACTGTAAATGAAACCATACTTTACAATGGCTAGTCTGATGCCCGTGTAAAACCAAAAGGCTTTAAGACACAAGAAAATTGAAAGGAGGTAGCTCAATAGGTGTTTTAACTATGCTAGCCATTTTTTCCATTCAAATAACTGCTATGATGAATATTTTAAAAATATGTTCATTCTCACAATTTTAGTAGGTTAACTATCTTTGTGAAAGAATTTATTTTTTCACAGAGAGATGGATTATGTGACAAAATTGGAAACATGGAAATTGAAATCATAATGATAAGATAAACCACATAAGCAGAGGAAAAAGGTGAGTTAGGGACGTCTCCAAATGAGTTGAGAAAAATGTTGATGTTACAAGAAGATGCCATGTACATATACAGAAGTGCCTGAGTCACTTAAAGGTTTATGCTAACAACATCACGTGTGTGTGTACACACACATACATGCATACTATATGTATGTATGTATAGGTATACATAGAAACATCAGAATAGCATATGCGATTCTAAAGTAATTTCTATATGAAATAAACAGCCAATATTTGTTCTTTAGTTCAAACCAGCCATTATGGTCTCTTAATATGCATATACATATGGGTATATATAATATACATATATAAGTATATATATCATATGTTACATATATATGCAAATAGTATTCTTTCAGCAACAAAAGCCAAATTTTTATAACAGGTTGTGCTGACCAAGCATAAACTCTGGCAACTTCAGCCTTTTAACGCTTTTTACGTCCAGCACATTTCTCAAATTGCTGAATTCATCTCTTACAAGAAAAATGGATTGTTCTTGCATCTTACTTTTTTAATCTTCTTGCTGCTTTGGTTCTTCCTGAATTATATTACAACTAAGATGCATATTTTGAGTTTTATCTTCTATTTACAAAATCAAAACTCTGTCAGTCTGCTTAGTCACATTGGATTGTGTTTTGTGATCATCAAAGATTTTACTGGAGGAGATTCAGCCACACATTCCTCTTTTCCCTTATTGCTTATAGCAGTTCACAGTAGAAGTGCTCATTGAAATGGGAAGGCATTTTTGTTTGTGAATTCATTTCCTCTTATCTTTAATACTATGTACCTTGTACTCTGCAACTGGTTTGTGTGACATTTTTTGCTTTACTATAATATTTTTATATGGGATAGAATACATATTTATGTATAAATTTAAGAAACATTAAGAATAAAGAACTGAGTAAGTGAGAAGAGGCTTCACAGTTTCCAAGAGACAATAGCTAGCTTCGGGTATGCATTTTTTGAATAACATACTTTATCCTTGTATACTCTTGAGATCTTTCAAAGGATACCACTATAAGTAAGCAGAAGTTAGTACAACACAACTTGGGCACTGTTTGTTTGTTAAAGTGGTACAATGTGTAGGATTGGAGAGAAAATCAGCCCTCCTCCAGAAATGAAACTTTCTTATTATCTCTGGAAGCTCTGGCTCTGGCCTATGAGATTGATTTTAATCAAAGGATCTGTGTCTATCTGACATAAAGATGTCTGTAAGTGCATGAGCCCTTCTTCAATATGCAAAATCTTGAGATACTGTGTTCTTACCTTTAGATCCAATAAAAACAGTGTTTTGAGTTTAAAACAATGGAAATATCATTTCATAAAACCTTTGTGATTCTTTTAAACAAAGTTTAGTTCTTTTAAATTTTATTTCAATTAATGTTTTTGCAAAATTACAAAGTAATTTTGGTACTTCTGGGGAGGCAATTGAATTGTCATTAATTACATGAATTTCTTAAACTGCTTTTAAGTAACTGTTTTTAAAAGGTTTAAAAATTTTATATGTTCCTTCTGAGTCTTGGTCAATGTTATAAATTGAGCTTGGGCTCAAAATTAGGATTTGTACCATGAAAACATATGCAATCAAAATACATGGGTTGGAGTCTAGGGTTTATGACTTCCTAGCTGTTTGACTTCAGTGAGTAGTTAATTGGCTCGCTGAACTTGAGTTTTTCTCAAGTTGAAAATAGATATAATAGTGTCTGATTCACAGGATGTGTGAGAAAATAAAATGATATGTGTCTATTATATACGTAACATTTCTGTTTTCCTATAGTCATATGATATTTAAGGCATCATCATTATTATAGTCAATAATTAGTTAATAACCCACATCTGGCTTCTATCTCATGTCTCTAAGAAAGTGAATCTATGTAACTGTGTGAGCAAATATCCTCCTGGACCCTGTATAAAAGAGACTGTAAACACAATGGGGAGATGTGATTATTATAGTCCAAGGAGCACCTCACATATATTAGTGCTCACAGCTGCTGAAAAAAACAGTATTAGCAGTACCAGCACTGACAGAGATGAAGTTAAAGCTGTTATTTTAAGGGATTAAACTTGAACAGAGGTACTATGCATTTACCTCAGAAAAGGCATGCCTGCTGGAGGGGTCACAACAGTCACAAATCTGGTTTTATCAGTTCATGTTGAAAATTATTATTAGTGCTAATAGGTCCATAAAAAATGTTCAAAATATTTCAAAGAGAGCAAGTGCAGCTGTTTGGCATGCCTTAGGTATTGATAATAAATATGCCTGACAGTGACTTACATAAAACAGCAGTACTGCGTTGAGCTTAAGCAGCCCACCTTACTATGTCAAGGCTGTAAATTGTCTCCTGGAAGTCATGTTATGTAACATCACGTGAAATCAAACACCAGCCACTTTTGAAAGTAATAAACTTAAAGGGTAAGTAGGTTACTTTTTTCACCTTTGTGTCTCTCAGCCTAGAGCTTGTGTGATAATCTAAAATACAGAGAGACTGGCAGAATCTTTAAAATCAAATCATAATTTCAGAACAGAAACTATATAATTAATCCTATAAGTAGTACAACTTCTTGGATAACTTTGAAATATATTTCACTTCAAAAAAATAAAAATAAAAAGAATATGACAAAAGAAAAAACACACAGAAAAAAATAGTTTCATTTATTTATATGATTATGTACAGGATGATAAAATATTTCATTGAATGTTACAACTGAGGTAAAATATACACATTTAATGTATGAAAATTTTCTTAAGGTATGTCTGTAAAAATGACAAAATGTGTTAAAACTTTTAAGTTAATTCTACCATAGAGTGATTTAAACCTATTTATAACTTTGACAAATTGTCTACTAACATTTGCTTCTTGCTTCTGGTGTCCTTTACAGATACTCATTAATTATCAGACATTACACAAACAGATTCCTTTGGAAGGGATGGTGTTTTTTTTTTTCTTTCCACAGTATAGTATAGTATCTTTAGAGCTTGTTAGTCAATCATTTCTTCTCCCCTCCATGCTTATTCAAAGATAAGCAAATACCCTATAAGAAAAACAGCAAAACTGTATTCCGAAAAACATTCTTGCTGATAGTTATTTATATCAATAATTGCACTATTAAACAAAATTTCTGTACAAATCATTGCCTTTGGAGCTACAAGAAACATAAATATAGATGACCATGAGCTTTATCTAGTAGAGGGATGTCACAAATATTTGGTTAAGGACAACTCTCGTCTTCTGGATGCTTATAGATAGAGGGTAATTTGAAAGCTTTAGGCATGAAAAGCTTTGACATCTTTTATTTGTCTGAATATTTTAGCATGGCTCATATGGAAATCCCCATGTGTTCTAGAACAGTGATCTCCAACATTTTTGGCACTAGGGACCGGTTTCATGGAAGACAGTTTTTCAACAGACGGGAGTTGGGGATGGGAGGGGATGGTTTGGAATGAAACTGTTCCACCTCAGATTATCAGGCATTAGTTAGGTTCTCATAAGGAGCATGCAACCTAGATCACGTTCCTATGAAAATCTGTTGCCACTGCTGATCTGACAGGAGGTGGAGCTCAGGTGGTAATGCTTGCTAACCCATCACTCACCTTCTGCTGTGTGGCCCTGTTCCTAACAGGCTACATTACAGACCAGCCCAGGGGGTTGGAGATCCCTGTCCTAGAATACTTTTCAAAAACTTTCATGTGATATATGGCAAAAGAAAGGCACAAAGTTTGTGAGAGCTCAGAGAATCCAATGATCACACTTTGTGGTTGATGGGGAGGGACTTAGAAATACCTCATGGCTAGACGCTGACCTGCAGACTTCTCCATTTTACCTACTTGATGCCTTCAATTGAATGTCCATTAGTAATTTCTAACATGTTTAAAATGGAAGTCTTGGATTTTTCTCTCAAATACAGTTTTCCATCTGATGATAAATGGTACCAGTGTCTTCCTAGTTGTTGAAGCCCTAAACATAGGCGATATCCTTTACTTTTCCCTTCTCCTCTCTCCCGATTTTCACATCACCCATATCATCCAAGTCACTCCAGTTTTCATTGTCTTCACTGCTACACGTCATCCATACCAACATCATCTCACTTCCAGAGCACATATAGTCACTCACATGCTTAACATCCTTTTCTCTCATAATGCCCTTTCCTGGGCTAACTGCATGGATAGTCCTTTTTCATCCTTTAGCTGAAATGCCATCTGATGAGAGAAGTTTTTTGCCTAGTCACTCTCCCTGACACTACTCTATATCCTTCTTTATAGCCTTGTTTGAAACCTGTATTTATATAATGCATCTGGTTTGACACTGGACTAACAACTCCACTGAGAATAAAGAACTTGCCTGCCTTTTTTACCATTTGATATGGTTTGGCTCTATATCCCCACCCAAATCTCATCTTGTAGCTCCCATAATTCCCACATGTTGTGGGAGGGACCTGGTGGGAGATGATTGAATCATGGGGGTGTGTCTTTCCCGTGCTGTTCTCATGATAGTGAATGGGTCTCACGAGATCTTACAGTTTTAAAAATGGGCGTTTCTCTGCACAAGTTCTCTGTTTGCCTGCTGCCATCCACGTAAGACATGACTTGCTCCTCCTTGCCTTCCATCATGATTGTGAGTCCAGTGAAACCCCTTTCTTTTGTAAATTTCCCAGTCTGAGGTATGTCTTTATCAGCAGTGTGAAAATGGACTAATACACCATTATATGTCTAGTGACTGAATGTTGGGCATATGTTAGGTGCTGAATAATTATTGAGTGATAGAATACCTGTACATGTTTTGGGGGTTCTGGTGTTTCTAAAGGAAAACTACAGCACAGAGCATATCACGAATATATAAAAAGGAGGCCTCTTCAATTCATAAAGTATATGAAGAGACAGTAGGGCACAATGGCAAAACTTACCATCTGAGGAGCCAGAGTTTCTAGGGTGGAATCCTAACTCTGCTTCTTCCTTGTCATGTGGCCTTGAAACATCACTTTATCTTTCTCTGCCTCATTTTCTTCATATGCAGAATGGAAACCATAATTTTAATATTTCATAAAGTTTTTATAAAGGTTAAATAAATTAATATGCATAAAACACTCAAAATTCTACCTCATTTTTATTAAATATTAGTCTTATTTCACATTTAGCCACAGGCAAAAGTTCATGTGTTTTGTCCTGCGCACCTGTAAAATATCCCAACTTACAGAATAAAATAATAGAGAAAAATATAACTTGGCCAAGTTTGGTATCTTAAAGTTAAAGAATTTCTTTCAGTTGACAATACAGTAGTCTTTTTGGTAAACTTTGTTGTCAATGTTAATGTTGTTTATAAGTAACCAGTTTTACAGGGTTTCATCCTCATCCTTCTAACTGCCTGCCCCAAGGGAAGATGCAGGTCTGATATCTGTGATAAAAGAGAGAGAAGGAGAAATCTCAGACTGGCCAGGCCAATCAGGAGTCCTTAAGCCAAAGATGCCCGTTGAAAGAGTCCTGAATTTCACCGGAAAGTCCACTTTTGTGCCTCCACTATTCTTAGTCATTTGCTAGAAGTAGCCTGTAGGAAGTGTGGCCTCCATGGAAACACAGCGGGTGGATCCAGGGGCAGACACAGCAGTGGAGGCTCTCCATCCACTGCGTTCCACACTGCAGGAGATCTGAGTGGTGCATTTTCATGACTGCCACACTAACAAAATACACATCTCTGACTTCTTCCCCTCATAACCACAGTCAAATTATTTCGGCTGAGTGCGGCAGAAGGTGGCTAAGGCTTGGGAATGATTGCAAAACTTAGTGCTATGCCAAAATCTGGAAGGTGAGGGTATGCACAGGGCTTTATCTCCCTGTAAGCTGCACGTGGTGACTTGAGGTAGCACAAAGGCTTGAGAGAGCACCAGAACACTGATGATTTTAAGCAGAGCATTGCCTATGTGATCTTTGAAATGCTTGTGGAAGGCTTGTCCCTGTACTCATGGAAGGTCCTGCTAGGACCTGGGAGACACTACTGCCTATGAATGAAGAGTAGAGAATATGCACTAATTAGCTGATATTCTTCTTATCCAGGGACTGGGAGGGGGCTAATTGTCTTCAGTTTTTTTTTTTTTCTTCCTTCTTGGTGTTTTAGCATAAAACTGATGGCATGCAAATCATCAAACTTCTGGCTAATGGAGGTCAAGACAGCAACAAGTCCCATTAATAATATATTTATTGTGCCCTAAAGTACTGTAGCAGCTTATTCTTAGCTTCCCTGGTGGACATTCTCATGAACAGACAGCTCTTAGAGAAGGCTATGTCAGGTGATTCTGCAGTGAAGGGGAGATAGAAACTTTTGGATTCCTTCTGTGCTATATAAAAGATGAAGGAAACTTGATAGTGACTCAGATCTGCTCTGTCTAACCACAGCCATTTAAACTTTACTGTAAGATTCCAAACAGAAAACGCAATTCACCTAGAAGTGCACTTTATGGGTGCTCAGCATGCAGAGAAAGAATAAGAAAAATCTTTAGAAGAAAACCAGGAAGGCCTTATTTTCTCTGTGGTAACAACATGCAGTGCCAGAAAACAGGTAGAGATAGATAATTTTGACAGCAACAACAGAAAAAAAATAAGAGAATCTATGAAGATTTGAATGCAGCATTAAAAAAGACCAGGAATTAGAGTTAAAAATTTGTTTTTAAATTGTAAATTTCAGTAGATACATTCAGTGATGATTAATCACTCTTGAGCTTCCTTTCTTAAATGATTAGGTTTTGCCATTGAGTCCTTTGAAGTTTTAGCCATTGATTTATGGCTGCTGCATTTCCTGAGTTTTTTTCATGTTTAAAAATATCTGTCTGTTGCCTTTTTACTTGGATAACTTCTTGGCTGGGCATTATATTCTTGCATCACATTTGTCAACATTGTGCAACTGTTTTCTGGCACTGCCTAGTTCTGTGGAGTAGCCTGAGATGTGCTTGATTTTTCCATCCATGTAGGTGAACTGCTTTATCTAGATGCCTGAGTAATCCTTTATCCTTGAAGTTTTATGGCTAACCTAGGACTGAACATTCTGCTTCAGTTTTTTCAATATGCTCTTTAATTGCAAATTCAGTTTTTTATTTCAAGTAACTTTGTGCAAAGAACATTACAGAGATATGATGTATTTGTTGGGATTTCTATTCCATCTCATTCCATCTCATTTTGATCTATCTTTTATGTATATTTTCTTCTCTTTAGTTTCTTTAAGATTTTGGTCTTCCCCATCTGCATTTATGTTGAACATCTTAAACCTTTTATTTATGCCCATTAACTTTTGAGCAACATCTATTTTGGTTATTTCTTATTAATTCTACAACAAACTTTTGTCTTCAGTTTGTTTTTTTTTTCAATATTAAATATCTCTCTCCAGCCTATTCAGTGTTTTAATATCTCAAATCTGAGAACCTATTTGACTTATTTCATATTTTTACTATGTACTTTATAGTATAAAGAAGTTGTGAGTAATAATCTTCTGTTCTTTGATTTACATTTTTTTCCAGGTTGGGTTATCTTTGAATGATCTTGATCTTTTCCTTGTACTAACGAGAAGTGAAAAACATTGCTGGAGGGAAACTGGAAAGTAAACCATAAGGAGCTAACTCTCTCAGATTAAAATGAAGGCTCTGGGGCTACATATTTACTTAAAGAAATGTTATGAGACCTCTATTAGTCCGTTTGAGCTTCTGTAACAAAACACCCTAGACTGGGTAATTCATAAACAACAGAAATTTACTGCTTACAGTTTTGGAGGCTGGGAAGTTTAAGATCAAGATATCAGCACATTTGGTATCTAGAGAGGGTCTACTCTCTGCTCCAAAGATGGAGCTATGCATATTATTGACAGGATTTTTAAAAGGCTAATGAAATTAACCAGAAAATTGTGAATAGACATATAATATATTTTAAACTAATAAAATGAGAACTGAATAAATGAAAGAACAAAATTTCTATTGAGTAGAAAACAATATCATAATTACCTCCATAATTAACATAGACATAAATGCAATTGAATTAGAATCAGGATGGTTATTTTGTTTGGAATTGGCCAAAATAATATCGAATTTACAGATAGGATTAGATATATGAAATTAGCTAAAAGTTATTTAAAAATTGATAGGGAACTTATTTTAAAGGAATTAAAATATAACAAAGCTAGTATGATTGTTCTAGTATAGTATTGGAATAAAATCAGATGAACAAAAATTTGATATCTTATATATAAAAACTTATAATAAATGTATTTTTTGAATTCAGTGGTTTATTCAATCAGTTTAATTATGGTGTATTTAATAGTACCTATACAACTGGTTCTCCATGTGGAAGAAAATAAAATGGAGGACCTATGTGATATTATACACAAAAATAAATTCCTAATGGATTAAAGTATTTATGTAAAAATTAAACAAGAAACAAAGTGAATATTTATCTTATCCAGGTGCTTTAAAGACTTAAAACAGGTAATCTGAAATTAATGAAAAAAATTTGCATTCATACTTCTTTGAATTTATGGAAAAATATAACCTCAAAAGATGTTCTATAAAATGAAAAATAACTTCTGAATTCATGATGGATAAAGATTTAATGTCTAGATTTTCAAAAGCTCTTCAACTTGAAAATTAACAAATTCGTAACTATACTAAAATGGGCAAAAATGTTATTTTGTTGTTAGTTGACGGGCAAATCCAGATGGCTAACGAATGTATGAAAATATGTCCAGCTTCATCACTCTTCACAGAATTTTATTTTGAATTCTTCTAATGAGGTTTCTTATGATATCCATAATTTCCAACATTGCCCATAAAATATCTAGAAACAAAGACTATTGTTTTCTATCAATAGTATGATACACTGATAGAAAAAAAAAAACCCAAACACTGGGTTTGAGTTTTTTTAGACAAATTCTCCACATTGATTAATTTGCTATAGTTTTATTCAAACTTTTAGGACATAGATCGTGTATTTCTAGTGAAGCTCTTCATGCCACATCAAAACTCCTATCAGGACTGGAGTGACCAGTCCTTTGTGGTAAAAACAATTTTTTTCTTATTTTGTTGCATTTTGTTGTTGGTATTTTTCTTATAAAATTTGATTTACCTGTTCATTCTCTTCTTCATGAGTTTTGCTTCACTTTTTTACCTAAAGCAGTAATCCTAAGAAATAATTCAAGAGCGTATGGAAGAGGACAGAAGGATGCAGAATAAGAGGAACTTGCTCTTTGGGTCTGTCACTGCTCTTTGCGCCTGAGCAAGGCTCTTAGTGCCTTTCTGCTGTGAAGCCTCGGTCTGATGAAAGGCTGTGTGAGGGTTGTGAGGGTCCACTGTTTGCACTACAGCGGTCTTCAGTGAAGCGAACCCTTAATCTACTGACAAGGGAAATGGAGTGCAGAGGTAGTCTGAGAACTCAGATTTCCCAGTTTCAGCACAGTGATTTTTTTCTATACTAGCAATATCTAAGTGTATATTTTCTTTTTTTTTTTTTTCCTACTAGCAATCTATTTATACCACTACAGATTATCTTAAAAAATAAATAGGAATTTTGGAAAAGAAATTCCATGTTACATGATAGGAAACAATTTTAAGTAAATAAAAATCTTTTGGTCAGTGCATTATTAAAGATTTTATTATAGGGCTTATTTATAATTCAATTTTTAGTAGTGTTTATTATATGAAATATGTTTTTATTTAACAAATTAAAAAGCATTAAACTTACTTTAAATAAATTATGTAAGTAAAATATGATTGCTAACTAATAAATTTGAAAATAACCTAATATTTTACATTTGGTTTGGGATCATTTAAAATGTTTACATAAAATTTAAGTATGTTATACAGAATCAAAATAGAAAAAAATTCATAGTGGAAAGATATTAGTCTTTTTATTTGCACTTTTTGCTTAACAAAACAGTTAAATTATTTCTATAATTTTTTATATTGATAATATAAAACATTTAGATTTCTTTTTTTGTAAGCTTTTCTCTAATTACATGACATTACTGATGGGGTAAATTTTTTTTTCCCATAATTGGGAATAGTTGTCACAAATATTTTAAACAGTGAATTTATTTTATAGTATAAAAGTGGCATTATTATGTATAATATAGGATTGTTGATTATAGGAAGCTAGTAAAGGTTATTCTGAAGTGAATTTGCCGTGTCATCACCTCAGGCTCTGTGTCAGAATTTTCCATTGGTTCTCTTACATTTCTTAGCCTCCTTGTAGTTAGGGAAGACATAAAACTAATTTTTGCCAGTGGACATTTTGTGAGGAGAAATGACACATGCCATTCTGGCCCAAAGCTGTGAAAAGTCCATTGTCCAGTCTTTTCTCTTCCCTTGCCATGGTTACAAAGAAGGCCACATCTCTAGATGGTATAGTTACAAGATGGTAACACCATCATCTCCACTATCCTGGTCCTTGAGTGACTGCATTTAATGGAGTACCTCTGTGCCCTGCAACCCCACCAATCCCACATTGGGTATATCCTATAAATAAGAAAGACAAATTATTTCTGAGAATTTGGGATTGTTTGTTGCTATAGCATAACTTAGCCAACCTAAACAAATATAAGCTCTTTATTACTTTATAATCATGTTCAAATAAAGGCCCAATATGGATACAAAAAATCATTTATAGCATAATAGTCAAAAACATCACAGTGGTGACTGTTGCTCAGTTGAGCGACTAAGACATTGAATGAATGAGGCTAAACATACTCGTTTGATCTTCATTTACCCCCATACTTAGTGTGCCTGAGAAAATTTCACGTTCTAACTTATAAAGATGGAAATTGAGAAAACATGATATTTACCACTTTTAATGCCATGAATCTTTGAAACAAGTTAAGGTTCTGTAAAAAATGCTGAGAAGACAAATTACAAAAATTCAGCTTCAAGGGCATTTTTGAATCAGTAGTGCTATTGGAATATGTGTATAGCATCTTAATAGTTGTAAAGGGGAAAATATAAGTTATGTAAGTAGATCAAAGTTAGTTTCATGACTTGTTGCATCTCATTTATGTCTGAAGTTCAAAAGAATTACTTAATTTTGGTGCATTATCAAAAATATATAATATCCACTTTGATAATATACAAAGACACTATATTTGTTCAGAGTCACCTCAAACTAACTTAAAAATTAAATTTAGCAAAATTACATGAAAGTGCCAAGCTTCTGGAAAAGCATGGATGTATCTCAGCCTCAGAAATTAATAAAACAGAACATAATTTGAATGCTGACAAAACTGTCTCTGTTCTCTGTGTTTCTCTGAGTGCCCATTTTCTTTTTTCATATTGTAGATTTATTGTTTTTTCCACATAGCAAACAAAACAAAAAACACAGGAAACAAAAAGTCTGGATTTTACATAGATTTGTCTTAAGTGACTAAGGATAAACTGAGCCAATTCTCTTGGTCTTATGTTCAAAAATCCCAGGGAAGGGGCTAATTTGCCCAGCTTGGGACAGGAACTTCTCCCCTCTCCTATCAATTGAAGTTCTTCAAATTGATTTGCCCATATGTCTTGTGGTTTTTGGTTGTCTGCTCATGTTTGAAAATGATGGACAAACTAATTATTTCTGCTAGCTCTTGTGAATTTTCTCTAGATGGGCTCTTCCATGATTGAGAAGTTTGACTGGGGACAAGGGTGTAATTGGCTGGCTGACAGGCTTCACTGTGTGATATAGGGTGGGGAACAAAGGAGTTGACTGAAGGACCCATAAAAAGCAGAATTGTTAAAGTTTGTGTTGAGACTCCAACATTCCCACTTAGGTCTGCCCACGCAGATTAATCACTTTTTCAATTGAGATGATCACTGGGTTTCTTTTTTCTTTTCTTCTTTTCTCTTCTTCTCTCTTCTCCTCTCTTCTCTTCTCCTTTTCTTTTCTTTTCTTTTCTTTCTTTTTTGGTTAATAAAAGCTATATGAGAGGGGATGGGCAGAAAGGCCAATTGGTACAACTATTTCACAAGTAGAGCTTCCTTGAGCCTCATGTTCCAGCCGTAATTCTTACACATGATTTTCTTTTGTTCTTTCTTTCTCTTTCTTTTTCTTTTTTTTTTTTTTCTCCTGCAAAATGGATCCCTGGGCCTGTCTAAGATTTTTCTTGAAAGAGTAACTTAAAACATATCTACTGTCCATAAATTTCATCTAGGGTTGATTCAAAATATTTAAAACCAATAGAGCATAGGGAAACTGAGGCAAGGAACTGATATCAGTAGGAAACAACTGTAACTGAATAAATAACAGCCTATGTCCTTACTGATGTAAAGGAGACTTGGAAGAGAGGAAGTAGGGGAAAGGTATGCTAATTTAGCTTTTGAATCATGTATATATTATTTTTCAGTCACCTTCTTCATATTTGCATTGTGAGGCAAAAACAAACAAATAAACAACAAAAGAAAACAAAACCAACCCCTGTACAATTAAAATTAGAGATGGAATTATAACAGCAAGCTTCTGGCCCTTGGTCCCATTTTCACATTAGTCCTTTCTAAATTTTTATTTTTATTTTATTTATTTATTAATTTTTGAGATGGAGTCCCGCTCTGTCACCCAGGCTGGAGTGCAGTGGCAAGATCTTGGCTCACTGCAACTTCTGCCTCCCTGGGAGGCGATTCTCCTGCCTCAGCCTCCCTAGTAGCTGGGATTACAGGCACTCACCACCATGCTCGGCTAATTTTTGTATTTTTAGTAGAGATGGGGTTTTGCCATCATGTTGGCTAGGTTGGTCTCAATCTCCTGACCTCAGATGATCTGCCCGCCTCAGCCTCCCAAAGTGCTGGGATTACAGGTGTGAGCCACCATGCCTGGCTGCCTTTTCTAAGGTTTTTAATCAGATGTAGCTGATGGAAAAAATATAGTTTAGACTAAAGTGGCTTTAATAAAATTACAATGTAGACATGGCTAAAACTGAGGGAGGTCATTCATTACATGATGCACTGTAAGTTGTGAAGCTCATTTTTTTCATGAAAGTACATTTTAAAGGAAAATTAGTACGTATGTTTTAGACTCATTTATATTTAAATCACTGAATTAGTTTCATTTAGAAGCTCTTAGATTCTACACACATATTTACTTCGCCTCTTTCACTGTCTCTCTTAAGAGCTAGCAAATGTCTTTATACAAAAGATTCACATCCAGGGAACAATTCCAAACATATACGATTGGGCTATGACACAAACCGAAAGTAACTTCTTTTTTCCTTTGTATTGTGTTTTACCAAAATAGAATCAATTTCTTCTTTGTGTTATGATGCTTTTCTTCCCTCAGTTTATATTCTATATAAGTATATATTCTATATACTCACTGTAACGTTATAGTTTTAAAATATAAGATAATTCAGGTGCCAAATTATGTAATTAATTGAATAATTTAGCTTAAATACATTCTTTTTTAGAATAAATTAATACTGTCTTGACTTGCCTATGGAAGAACACACAGTGATTATGATTATAGAGAACTAAAGGAGAAGTAGTAACTCATTTGACTTTTAAAAACTGTCTTCAACAAATGTTGAACATTTCTTGCTACTCTACATGCTACTAGTGATGTGGCAAAGAAATCAGTGAATTTACTCTTTCCCTCAATAATTAGTTCTGACTAAATTGTCCTCAGCTTTTATGCCTTTTGGCCTATTTTTTTATATGCATTGTCTCATTTAAGATGTCTTTTAGGACTCTGCTTACCTTATTACACAGTATCTTTTGAATGAAGAAATAGGAGGCATTTATTGATTGTAATACTATGGATAGTTGAGTTTCCTTGAAATATTTTATTTTTAAACTTATGGCTACAGAATCATGAACTTGATTAGGTTTCTGCTTTGAAATGGTTATGACAAAATTCAGAGTTGGTTATCTTTGTTAATTACCTTGCAGTAGACATTTTATGTACTAATCTTATTCCTGGCTTCTTCTAAGTTATACTTATCGTATTTTCTTTTTACTTATTTTATATTAGCAGCTATAGCTATAACTTCTATTAGCAGTTATAACTAGCATTTTTCCTTGTGGAGAGAAATGTTTTTATTTTAGCAAAGACATTCATTAGCCTTCATGGCTAGGTGACAATCTAAAATCTTTAGTAATATTGTTACCAGAAAGGGCTCCCAATTCAGACCCCAAGAGAACGTTCTTGGATCTTGGGCAAGAAAGAATTCAGGGTGAGTCCACAGAGTAGCGTGAAAGCAAGTTTATTAAAGAAGTAAAGGAACAAAAGAATGGCTACTCCATAAGCAGAGCAGCCCCAAGGGCTGCTGGTTGGCTATTTTTAGGGTTATTTCTTGATCTTATGCTAAACAAGGGGCAGATTGTTCATGAGTTTTCCGGGAAAGGGGTGGGGATTTCTCGGAACTGAGGGTTCCTCTTGCTTTTAAACTATATAGAGCAGGACATTGCCATGGCATTTGTAAAAGTCATGGCTCTGGTTGGAGTGTCTTTTAGCATGCTAATACGTTATAGTTAGCATGTAATGAGCAGTGAAGAAGACCAGAGGTCACTTTCGTCACCATCTTGATTTTGGCGGGTTTTGACCAGCTTCTTTATTGCATTCTGTTTTATCAGTGAGGTATTTGTGACCTGAATCTTGTGACCTCCAATCTTATCCTGTGGCTAAAAATGTCTAACCTCCTGGGGGATGCAGCCCAGCAGGTGTCAGCCTCATTTTATCCAGCCCCTATTCAAGATGGAGTCGCTCTGGTTCAGATGCCTCTGACAATATCAAAAGGGATTGTTTCCTTGTTTACAAGGAGACTTTTGTGCAATGCTGGTCAGAGAGCTGGTCAGAAGGCACAAGGCCAAAGGCTGAGGACGAAAGGAACTGAGGACAAAGTCCTCTGATAATTAACTGAAATTTGGAGAACGACTTAGAGCTTCCATAGGTCAAAGAAAGCTGTCCAAATGCTAGCAGAGTCCCCCAGTTTATATCTCAGCTATACTTGTGTATGAAATACTTAAATGAAAATACTTTTGAAGTATACTGTGCAAGTATCTTATAGCCCCTCAGATTATGTTATTTTATGTGTAACTCAATATTGCACATTTTAAGTTTTTAGTATTCCATATTTGTTTCAATTTATTATGTATGTCATTACAATTTTTAATTTTTTCTTCCTCAGATTATACACGTTTTATAAAACAGATGAAGTACACATAGAAATTCTAACGTTTGGGAATATTTAGCCTGTTGTATATATAGCAGTTATGTTTACAAAAATGTAGATTCTTTATTTTTCTTTAACGAAATCAATAGATTATCATCATTTTAACAGAGATTAAATAAAATCATATTTTACTTTATCTCAAGTTTTATTCCATTATTAATAATTCTATTCCAATCCGGAAAACATACCATGCCAACAAGCCAAACACAGACGACATACTCAATGACATGCAGTAGATACACATTATCACCACCCCCCCACCCACGTATTTATTGGGGACCTCTATGCTCCATGCACTTTCTAAGTACTAAGAATAATGCAGAAAACAAAACAGATCAACATACCTATCCTCGTGGAACTTATATTCCAGTAAGGGGAGATAGGCAATAAACACAGTCAATAAGAAAATAGATTGTACGACAGATTGTGAAATGTTGTAAGGAGAAAAATGGAAATAGAGAAAGGGGATAGGGAGATACGTGAGGCTTAAAATTTTAAGCAGGTCATAGAAAGCATCCCAGAGAAGGCCATATTTTAATAGAGACCTGAAAAAGGTCAAGGGTGACCCAGGCGGATATTAGGCGTACCAGCAAACAGCAAGTGCCAATAAATAAAATTGGATTTTCCTTTTTCTCATGTTTTATTCCATTGTTAGTAATTCTAGTCCAATCAAAAAAAAGTACTGTGCCAATGAGCCAAACACAAATGACATACTCAATGATGTGTAATAGATACAGAACATTTAAACATTCCATACATATTTACCAAATAGCTCTATGCTCCAGGCACTTTCTAAGTTCCCCATGAAGTGGGGAGCATGGCCTCTGTGTTGGAGCAGTGGGAAAGTGACTTGTGTCTGTGGAGTGAGTGGGAAAAGCCTAGGGTAGGTAGGAAATGATGACCAGATTTTGCAGAGCCTGAAAGACCACTATAATGGGTAAGGTTTTTTGTTTGTTTGTTTTTTCTCTGAGTAAGGAGGGACACCATTGGAAAGTTTTGAGTATAAAATTGCTGTAATCTAAAATGCTTTAACAAGAATCACTGGCTACTCTGTTAAGAAAAGACTTAAAGAAGGAGAAGGATGAAAGCTTAAAGGCTAGTTAAGATGCTAATGCAAAAACTCATGTAAGAGCATATAGTGGCCAAAACCAGAGGAAAAGTCATGGTGAGGAGTGGTTGGATTTGAGTGTTAAACCCACGATTTGTAGAATGATTGGATGTAGAGTGAAAGAGAATCAATGAAGACCTTGGGATTGTTGTCTAAACAACTGGAAGGATGGAGTTGCTAGGAACTAGGTTGAAGAATCCTGCCAAAAGAATGAATTTTCTGGGATGATGTGAAGTTCACTTTTGCTCCTTTTGAGATGTTTATGAGATATCCAAGTGGAGATGACAAGCTGATTCAAGGTTGCCCAGTGTTTTGTGTGTGAGCAATTATGTATTTATAAAACTCCAATGATCCAGGAAGCTTGGAAAGTCCTATTTTCAGCTGACAAGAGGTGTTTTTCTCATCACATATCTCTAGATATTTCTGCTGCCGTCATTGTCTACTGTTGTAAGAGTATTGGCTTTTACCTGATTTTAAAGTGCTTAATTCACTGTTTATACTAGAAATGCACATACGTAATGTTTTAAGGGGAAAAATAAAGCTGTGAATAAGAACAAATAATTCTTCATATCTTCACATGGCTTTCAGGAGGTCAATAAGAAATCTAAACAGAGAATGAGAGAGGTATTTGACATTAGCATATGTACACACACACACACACACACACACACACACACACACACACACACACAAATCAAAGTAGACTGACCCTTCCACGTGAAAAAGAAATCGAGAGTAAATAAATGTTTATAACTATTAAGGGTCTTTCGTATTAAAGGAGGCCAAAACAAGCTGGCTGTATCTGGCTGTATCTGACTGTATCTGGTGGCTGTATTCGCAGGACATTTCCTCTAAGGGAGCCTTGCTAGTTAAGACTGTAGAAGGAGCAACAGATAAGGTGGAGAGCTCACAACTTAGCAACAACTTGGAAAGTATTGTCAATAAATGCTCCAGGTTGAAATGGGGCCAAGTGATAGGATGTGATAATATTGTACAATTGAAGCAGCACTTCAGTATCTAATCTTGGGATTAGAGAAAAATCTGGCGTTCACACCAGGGAAACCATGTCAGTTTGGAATTCATAGCTCTTCTCCATTTATATTAAGAACAGCCACAGATTACTGGAGGCAAACTGTGATACAGCTTACTGCAACATGTCTATGATAAAGCATGGAAACTTGCTTTTTATACCAGAAAAAAAAAAACCACCCCCCAAAAGTGTTGTAATAGAAACCAAAGCATCTGGTTCCCACTATCACCATGTTTTGTATAAATGTTTCCTAAGATCTAGTTTCTTGATAACGGCCTTTGGTAAACTCATTTAAGAAAAATTTGGCCCCATGTCAATGTTTCACTAAACAACAATGACTTTACATGTGAGCTATCCTCTAACCTGGTCTTTCACAGTTAGCATAATGTTGAGACAATTTGCATTTAGTTCATAATAGGCAAACAGGAAATCCCATGGAAGTGTGTCAGGACTTCACAAATAGCTGGCCAAGAAGCCTAGAGGAGAAGCAAGAAGGTGACTAGAGGAGAAAAAAGAGGCTGAGTTAGAAAAGGGAGTAAGGAGAGAAATGGAGTGTGAGAGAGAATACAAATTGGAAACAGAAGCTTGAATGGGAAAATGCCATTTTAGAAAGTAATCTTTTAAATTCTGTTTTTAAAGTCATGCCTAGAAGCTGTCCAAACTACAGCCAAATAATAAGATTATGTCTGATTCCCGATCCTAGCACTGTCAGGCTTGGTTAGTGTGACGCCTTTAATGTATTTGGTGTGATTACTTTTTGTTTTGTAGCAGCAGCAGAAATCCTCTACATTAGATAAAAATTGTTTACAGGTTAAAAAATGTTTTTATTGCAAAATTTGCGTGCAAATTTCAAAGTGAACATTTTTACTTTATAATTTTTTTGGCCAACTAACAGATATAGCTACTTCAACAGAAATGAAAATCACTACACACAATCAAAAATTCTCTTTCCTGAGAATAGAGGAGACTTCATATTTTATAGTAATTTTACATAAACATGAGAGAAACCTTGTTCATTTTCCTGTTAGAAGTAAATCCCTGCATCATTTTAATGATGTTAATAATTAACAATATTGATAACAATAATACCAATACCAAAAAGAGAATAAGATTATACTTGGAAAGTTTTATTTGATGCCTTCCTTATTTTTAAGACTATCTTTTATCCTTTATCTTATCTCAGGAAATGTTTATTGATGGGCTCAAAATAATATTTATTAGAAGAAAAGAACAGATTTAGGACTAAGATATGTGATGTTGATATTAATTATTGAGCTAAAGATTTTGCCAATTTTACATGTTTTTCATTGTAAAAAAACGTTTTTATCTTTCCATTTCCCAGTAATTCTTACAGGACTAGTTAGCAAATGCTGTTGATTTACAAATGGTATACACTTTAAAATACTGATATTATTAATACTTCTAACAGTTGTTAGCTTGATAGGCTCACAAAGGAATGAATGATTAGCTTATTTTATGGGCATTATTCTTAGAAATGGAAATGAAGTTTAAGTCACATTTTGAACACAGTTGGATAACATCAAGTTCACACTTCTGAACTGAGAGAAGTTTTCAGATATTTGCTTTGATCTCTATCATAGGTCCTTAAGCAATTTCACTTTTAAAATTTTTCTTTAAAAATTTACACTCACATTTGGGTAAACAGATGGCTTGCACTGCCTAACATCAGATGATGTGCCAAACAGTAATAACGTCAGTTATTTTTGTTGTTATCCTTACTGTTGTATAGAGTACATTTGATGAAAACAGTGAGAAAAATAAAAGAATCCGCAGCTCAAAACTTCATGAGATTATTGTACTTGGTCACTCTCTTCAACACAAATTCTGATTATTGTCTGGAGAGTTCTGGCAGGATTTTGTAACAAGTTAGCTTCAAATATTTAACTTTTCTGGGACAAAGACTCTTGGAACTTCGGTCTTCTTGCCCTGTAAATCTGCAGCGTTTCTTATTTTTGTCAACAGGCATGCGGAAGGCCTTAAAAAGACACATTTATTTCATTTATGAGAAACTGAATCCAGATATAAAGCTCTTCTCTCACCCACTACTGTTGGCTTTCTTTAGAATGATTCTGTGGTGGTGCTGGGCCCCAGGAAGCATTGTAACATGTGTTGGCAATCTTGCAAACCAAATTTAGAGTCTCTTAGATTCAATATCAAGATATTTATTAGGAGTGAAGCTTGCCTTGAGCTCTTTCTGTGAGTTGATGTTAAGCCACTGGCAGTGCTTCTAGAGTGAGTTTTCTTGTTTATCCCTGGTGATGTTTAATGCAAAGCTAATTCACTTCCTGGGACATCCTACTGGGGACAAGTCACTCTATTAATAGCTAGAAGTCTTGATTGTGATTTCCAGCTAGGTTTGGAATTAGGGTTTATAGCTTCTGGGTAGCTTTCATTTATATAAATGAAAATTATCTTGAGACAACAGGAAAAGATAACATGAAAGAGTGGAAGTTTTGTTACTTGTGACATCTCACTGCACATTGTTTTAAGTGTAACTAATTTGTTTTAAATTACTCTTTGAAACAATTCCTACTATTTTTAGCATGGAGCCAATCATAATTCAAAAGCAGAAGACCTTTGTTGTTTAACAGTATTGGTTTACTTACCCCACTCAAGGAGGACTAGTGGTGCGCTGATAAATGTTTAAAAACTGGCTTTCCAAAGGCGAACAAAACAAAATAAAACTCAAAAACAAAGGCATTATGTGGAGCATTTGAAAAGGTATAGGGTACAAATGATCCCAGCATGATCAGTTCTAACTTCATAGCCTAACGTCAACTGGCTTTCGATACTTCTAAAAATTTAACAGTAGGCTGCACCTATGTCTGGCTCCCACATGCCACTGGAAAAATACTGTGTTACTTATATGTATTTTATGTAGGTAAGTGAATATGTAAGTAAGTGAAATTATGTAAGTAATTGAAACCGGAAAGGTTCCCTTGTCCCCCGCAGGCATGTGACAGGGGGAGTGGCTGGCCTCTTCAGTGCCCCCCTGCTCAAACCTCTAGGGGGAGCATACAGGCTAGCAGAATGAGGGGGTCTGACCCCACAGCAGTGTCTAGGGGTGAATGATTACAGCTCCTGAAGCCCCAGTGGGCGTGTTACAGGGTGCTCTTTTAGTTTAACTGTCCATAGGCGGCTTGTGTTAGCTCAATTAGACCCTCTGCCTTATCGCAAAAACAGAGGGCTTTCTGTATGCTAGGGTTCTTGCCTTGGTGTACTGGAAGCATCAGATCACACGTGAGCTTGGAGAATGAGTGCAAGGTTTTATTGAATGGTAGAAGCTTTCAGCAAGGTGGATGGGGAGGACAGAAGCGGGAGGGAGTGGGAAGGTGGTTTTCCCCTGGAGTTGGGCCACTCAGCGGTCCGGGCTCCCTTCTGTCTGCCTTGACCAATCTCCACGTCATTCCGCCAGTGGATGGCCTGCTGGCCTGCCGGCCTGCCAGCGTCTATCAGTGTGTTCTTTCGCTGGCATGCTACCCTAGACGTCCTTTCGATGTCCAGCCGCTTGTGTGTTCTTCCGCTGATGTGTTTCTCTCGACGTCCAGCCTCATGTGTGTCTGCCCACTAGGGTCTCGGGGTTTTTATAGGCACAGGATCGGGTTGTGGCAGGACAGGGTGGTCTTGGGAGATGTAACATTTTGGTGTGAAGGGAGGAGTGCCTGTCCTGACCTAGGTCCTTAGGCACAGGCCCGAGGGTGGAGCCCTAGCCAGGGACCCGCCTTTCTCTATCCAGCTTTTCCCTGCCCCCCTCCCATATCAAAAGAGCTGAAAATGATGCTAACCTTCAAGAGAACATAACAATTCTCTCTACAAGAGTAGATGGTTTGGAATGGCTTTTTTTTTTTTTTGAGACGGAGTCTCGCTCTGTCGCCCAGGCTGGAGTGCAGTGGCGCGATCTCCGCTCACTGCAAGCTCCGCCTGGCGGGTTCACGCCATTCTCCTGCCTCAGCCTTCCCAGCAGCTGGGACTACAGACGCCCACCACCACGCCTGGCTAATTTTTTTGTATTTTTAGTAGAGACGGCGTTTCACAGTGTTAGCCAGAATGGTCTCAATCTCCTGACCTTGTGATCCGCCCTCCTCGGCCGCCCAAAGTGCTGGGATTACAGGTGTGAGCTACCACACCCTGTTGGCTGGAATGGCTCTTTGAGTTATGTAATAGAATTCTGGAATTTGGGAGCTAGGAGGACTTTTTTTTTTTACATTTCTAAACTTTTATTTACAGTGGACACATAATGACATATTAATGGGGTGCAGTGTGGTGTTTCAATGCATATGTGCATTGTATAATGATGAAATTGGGGTAATTAGCATATCTATCACTTTAAACATTTACCATTTCTTTGTGGTGATAAATTGAAAATTCTCTTCTAGTTATATTACTATTAATTATTTATTATTATTTGAGACTGAGTCTTGTTCTGTTGCCCAGGCTGGAGTGCAGTGACACAATCTGAACTCACTGCAACCTCCACCTCCCAGGTTTAAGTGATTCTCATGCCTCAGCCTTCTGAGTAGCAGAGATTACAGGCATGCGCCACCACGCCCAGCTAATTTTTGCATTTTTAGTGGAGACAGGATTTCATCATGTTGGCCAGGCTGGTCTTGAACTCCTGACCTCAGGTGATCTGCCCACCTTGGCCTCCCAAAGTGCTGGGATTATAGGCGTGAGCCACCGTGCCCAGCCTTCTTCTAGCTATCTTGTAGTGTATAATATACTGTGCTAAAAGAAAATACTTCAGCGAAATTAGATTTAAAAGAGTTTAATTGAACAATCAACGATTCATGAATTGGAAAGTCTTTCGAACCAGAATAGGTCCAGAGACTCCAGTGCAGGCACATGGTGGGAGAAGATTTCTGGACAGAAAAAGGAAAGACATGCAGAACACGGAAGTGAGGTACAGAAACAACTGGATTGATTACAGCTCAACATTTGCCTTATTCGAACATGGTTGGAGCAGTTGACCAACATGGTTGGAGTTTTGTTTGGCCAAAACTTGGTGATTGGCACAAGTGTAGGCTACTCAGTCTGTTTATACCTCCATGTGTTATATAGTTCACAATGTACAGAAAAACCTTTAGGCTGAACTTAAGTAGGTAAGAAGACAGCTTTAGGCTAAACTTGATTTAACAACTGTTATTAGCTATAGTCACCCTAGTGTGTGAAAGAACACCAGAATTTCTTCTTCCTATCGAACTGTAACTTTGTACCTGTTGGCCACCCTCTTCCCATCTAACCCCTATCCCCCAGCCTCTGGTAACCACTATCCTATTTTCTACTTCTATGAGATCAACTGAGGAGGACTTTTGAAAACCTTGGGTTCTGTATCTTCATGTGGAAGACACTAAGACCCAGAAAAGAGTGATTTTTTTTTTCAAGGAGGCAATGGCAGCAGTAAGACTCAGGCCAGATTTACTGAGCTTCCAGCTCTGTGTTCTTTCCATTAACTTACTCTTTTTTCTTATTTAACGGCTCACACAAATTGTTTTGATTTGCCTGGTTTATTCTTGCTTTTGATAGAAGTAGTTTGCTGCTCAGTTGTTATAATCAACTGTCCAATCTCAGGAGAATTAAGACATAAGTCAGTAAATGGTTTCTTATTTCTTTAGTGCATATAGATAATGACTATGAAGTCTAAAAAGCAAAAAAGGTAAAATTCCACAGGAGGAGTATGTGCCCTTTTAACTATGATGTTCCTCTCCATTTTACTACTTCAGATCTCAGGCAAACATGCAAATGATGGGCATTCCTTTGGATCCACAGTTTTGATCTTTTATCACTCTTAGCTAGAAAGTCATTCTAACATTTCTGCTATAAAGCCCCTTGTTGGTATTACCTTTAGCTGTTGCTACCCTATACAAATATTCCACTACATGACTAGTGAATTATTTACCTCCAAGTCAGTTTTCATCTCAATACTTCTCTGTTTAAAACAAATAAAAAGGGGCTGCCTTTCACCCAACAGATTAAATCCCAAACTTCTTAACCTAAACCCCTGAAAACAGGAATTGAATGTGCTTTGCTCCCCTAAATCTTTAGTGCTCCCTTGTATCACAGTGCCTGGCTCAGGCCAGTATTATTAATCATGTATTGTCTTGTGTACCCACATGTGCCTTGAGAATGGGTACTATTGGAATTCCCACTTTATACCTGAAGAAATAAGTGCAAGAAACTTTCCCCCAAACTCACAGTTGATTGGCAACATCACCTAGACTTGAACCCAGCTTTTCAGATTATACTTTAAACGGCATGCCATACTACCCTCTTGAATATTCTGATGCCCTGTCCTAGTATGAAGTGCTCTCCATAGTTTCGTACCAGCACATCTACCTAGGTTCTTTCTCTCTCAGTCTCTGAGTGAAGTCTTGATTTCAGGCACCCTGGTCCTCTCAGGATGACCTAAATAGGCTCTAGGAATCCTCTATGCCTTTTCTACAACTGTCTCTCTTGCCCTTGTCATTGGAATTCCCCTTTACTTTGAAGAGCATCTTAACCTTCCTTCAAGGCTGTTCTTTAAAACACTTTGACCTCAGCCTCTCCTCTTCAGACTGCTGACTTGTCCTTGGCTCCATACACTGCTTGTGTTTCTGGACTTCAGGCCTCGCCAGGCAGTTTACCACTTTGAGGACAAGCATTAGGTGTCTTTCTGTTATCCATTGCAATCTGTACACTCTCATAACCATTTTATAATACTTAGTATATGTTGATGATAATTTTATTTGCCAATCATTCAGGCCTTTGTAGGTATTTTGACTGTACCTCAAAAGTGAGATTCTGGAGAGGGGCATTGCATTTCAAGATGCCTTTGATGAGTGATGATTTGATAGAGACAATAAAGAACAATTCACCTGTGAAGAGAAAACTATCCTGAGGACACAAGACTGAACCTTCCAGAGTGAGGCAACAGTAGCAGAAAAATAATGGGATTAGAGTGGATAACAAGCTAAATGGGAATCAGCAGCATGTCTTTATGAGCCGCACATAAATAAAAGCATAGCAGGCCAGAAGTCTGTGCTAATCCTCTTATTAGATTTAGCATAGGTCTGACTTTCTTAGAAAAAAATTCACTAGCTTCTGAGTTGCTCTCTTTCTACTGAAGTGATTAGGAAAGGACTGTAACAGTAGAAATTTAGACGATATATTGGAAGGATATTTGAAAAAAGGAGCATAAAATTAATTCAACTTTCTGCCTTTTGAAAATCATCTAATCTACAGTTACGATTTTGCAAAGGCTACTATTAAAGCCAACCAGAAGAGGTTTTAGTCTTGTCTACAGTTTCCAGGCTCCTTGTCAACAATGTTTTGGCTGCGAAAATCTGATTGTCAGGAACTTCCACACAAGACTCAATCTCAAACTGTGTGGCTGTGATCTATGTACAGACATTCTTGCTCCATTCTCTGCAAGGGCCAGCCCTGAAGGCCAATGAAGCTCCTAGTTTAAAATTCATATTTACATATTACCTTATTACATATTACCTTATGAAAATCCTTGTATCCTTACCTTTGAATTGCTAAATCAAATTTGTTTCTAGCTGCTTGAAGCTGGTACACTTAACGAAAAAGGCTTCCTATGGGAATGGTGAAGTCTTTAGTCCTATGAGGGAGCCTGTTTGGGTTACATGATGGTGATTAATGTTAATAAATATTTTGGATGTGTTAGGAATTTCTTTACTTTCACTCGTTCAAATATGACTTGTTCCTTCATATGGTTTTATTTATTTTTATTTTATTTTATTTTATTTTATTTTATTTTATTTTATTTTATTTTGGGACAGAATCTCCACTGCCCAGGCTGGAGTGCAGTGGCGCTATCTCGGCTCACTGCAACAACTTCCACCTGCTGGGTTCAAGTGATTCTCCTGTCTCAGCCTCCCAAGTAGCTGGGATTACAGGTGCCTGTCACCATGTCCAGCTAATTTTTGTATTTTTAGTGGAGACAGGGTTTCGTCATGTTGGCCAGGCTGGTCTTGAACTCCTGACCTCAGGTGATCCGCCTGCCTTGGCCTCCCAAAGTGCTGGGATTACAGGCATGAGCAACCATGCCTGGCCTTTCATATGGCTTTATAAGAAATAGACATATTAACCTTCAGTGATTTGGCAATGTATGAGGTATTTCACACTCATTCCATCCGATAACGTTTTGAAGTGATATTATTAGACTTTTCTTAATAGATGAGGAAGCAGAAGTTAAATATCTATTCAATGAGAAACAGCTAATAACTGCTTGACTTTATGATCTTTCTACTGTATTATGGAGCCACATGTAATCTTCTCTTTGACCAGGTCAGTGAATTTGATCTTAAGTGTTCTGATTTTTCCATAAGAGTTATAGTAGAAGTCTTCAGCAAATAAATTTGTGTCACATGTTTACGTTGGAAAGTAGGAAGAGTCTTACTGGTCAAAAATAAAACAACTACAGTGTATCTTGTATTTTTATAACATAGAAAATGCTTGATATTAATAAAAATATGCTAAAGAAATATCTGTATTATAAAGGTGCTTATTAGGGACAAGTGGTATAATGTTATAGCGAGGAATCTTTTTGGGAATTACATATAGTAACTCAGATTTGTAACCCTTTGAGTACTGTCAGCATTGTTTTTATTATTAGAATCACTACTACCGCAGGTTGTATTTTTACAATTAGCCTTGTTGCCACCATTTCCTTTCCCACTCTGGAGCTTCCAGGAAGTGTTGGTCATTTCACTCCAATAGGCTTAATGGTGGAGTAACTTTAACCCTCCTTAAATGGCTATCCCTTGATGTACTAATTTTTCACAGGCTAAAACTGTAGCCTGTTAAAAGTAAATGCATTCCTTCCAGGCTCCAATGGTGAATTCATTCTCAGATGACCCCTTGACATTTCACAGGCATTGATGAGGTGCTGTCCCCTCTCTGGAAATAATCTAAACACTGATCCCAATGAATGGAAGAGAGCCCTAGATAAGCAGAGGGAAATGTGTTTATGGACATGTTCAGGTCATCCCCACTGTATTACTGAAGGCTAAATACTTATACTTCTAGAGAGAAGGTAGAGGGTGGGAAAGGAAGCACTTCTACCTAGCCAATTAAATTTTTTTTTATTCCTCACATGTAAATGATCTCTTGGATACATTATTAGGTTAGTAAAATGCAAGGCATATTTATATTCTGTTAGGTGGTGAAAAAGCTCATACTGACAGAGGTGAGATAATGTTAGATGGTACCAAATAATATTCTTTTTTTCACTTTCTAAATATTTTGGCAAATTTTAACAAAATAAGCATTAATTTAAAACATGTCAGAGAACATAGACTGCACTGGACATTTGCTTCGGATTTGCTTAAGAATTTTAAATCACTTTTTAAAGAGCTCTGATGATTCTTGATGTGAATACAATGACTTAATGCTTTACAACTCATGCACTAGGAGGTATGGTTAACATTTTACATGTCTGGCAAACTGCAGTTCTTAATCTCAGCGTCAGTGGGGGTATTTGCTTATTTTTGATAGTATTGCACGTTCAAAATTTGAGGTAAAATGTATGTTTTCTAATACAAAGAAGCAATATCTATATACATATAAGCATATATTTGTTTTAAGTAATTTATTTTAAGGAGTCAAAATTTATTTAAATTTATTTTAGTAAGCCAGAAACTTTTCCTAAAATGTAACCTCCACTGGGGTAAGGATTTTTGTTTATTTAGGTTGTTGCTTTATCCCTAATGCTTGACACATGGTAAATGCTTAGCAAATATTTTAGTAAATATTTATAAATGTTTTAAATATTAATACATGTTTGAAACTAATGCTTATTTTGTCAAAATTTGCAAAACTATCTAGAAAGTAAAAAGAGAATTTTATCTGGTTCAATCTAATATTATCCCACCTCTGTCAGTGTGAGCTTTTTCACCACCTAACAGGGTACAAATATGCTTTGCATTTTACTAACCTAGTAAAGTATCCAAGACATTATTTATATGTGATGATTTAAAAGATATTTAACTGATTAGGTAGAAGTGCCCCAATAAAATTCATTTGAGGAGAATTTATTCAACACAATCTAGGACTTGCTGGGCTAGGCAGTGGATATAACCTTATTGTGCATGTGGGCTTATAAGACTCTCTTCGATTAATGTCATCAGGCACTCACATCAGATAAGTAACATTTCACCCTCATCAGGCAAACTTTTGACTATAATTTGTCTGTGGCCTAGAGGTTAAAATTTCCATAATGTAAGGAAACTATTGTCTATTGTTCAGTGACCTTGCAAATAGCTGTTTTTATTATAAATTAATGAACTCATATTGATAATTTTAGTTATTTCTAGAGTTTGGTAATATTAGTCTGTCCCTGAGAGACAGTTTATATATGGAGCAGTGCCTTATACCAAACACTGCATGGGGATAGGAAACAAATTACTTCTACTCTTCAAAGAGAAAGTTTGATTGAGGCACAAATGACACAATCTTAAACCATATAAAATCAATGCATTTATGTGGTACAAAATATGTACATGTGAGCCAAGGAAGAATACAAGTAAAATTAAGGAAGGCATTCTAGAAGAAGAAAATAAAAATAGATTGACCTCTAATAAAGATGATATTATCACTGGTAGTGAAAATGCTATGGATAAGAGATATAAAAATGGAAGGAAGCTTATGTAAAGGATAGGTTAAGCAGATTTGCTTAAACAATAGGTTAAGCAGATTTGCTTAAACAAAATAGTTTGTGTTAGGAAAAATTAAGCATGAGGCAGATGTGACAGATAAACAAAAACTTATTATCAAAGGTGGAGGCAATGGGCAAATGGCCTTAAGTTTCATCAATGGTTTTGAAGATTAACATATAGTTTTGCAACTAATACTAGGTGTTTTGGTTCTCTATTGCTGCATAATGAGCCATCCCACCATTAAGTGACTTAAAATAGCAACATATAATTATTCCCTAGGTTTCTGTTGATTGACTGGAGCTCAGCTGGATGGTACTTTTGCTGTTCTAACTTGGTGTCACTCATGTAGCTGTCATCAAATGGTGGCCAATACTATAACATCCAAGATGGCTTCCAGTGTCTTGGCAGGATGGCTGCAAGGTTGGGCTGAACTTGGGTGGTAGGATGGGCAGGCCTCTTCATTTCTATCTAGTCTCCAAGGTCTCACCCTCTCTTTGTGGTCTTCCTACATCTTCTCTCTACATGATATCTCTGTATCATGTCAGCTGGACTTCTTATATGAAAACACAAGGGCTCTCAAAAGCTCAGGAGAAGCTGTCAGGCCTAAAAAGGCTTAGGCTTAAAACTGGAATGGTGTCACTACATTTCACTGGTTGAAGCCAGTCAGTCCAATATAGAAGCAGATTACACAAAGGCATAAATACTGGGAGGTTCATTGCTAACTGGGGACCATCTTTGGAAACTCTCATAGTCAGTGATTTGAAGTCATTATCATGTCAAGCCTCATCAACATCATCACAACTGCAGCAACAACAACAACAACAACAAAAACCAGCTAATATTTCTGGGGCCCTTAGTATTTACCAAGCATGATTATTAGTACTTTACATTTATTAATGTATTTAAATCTAGAGAGAAGCAATATTATTATTCAAATTTTACAGTTGTGGAAACTGAGATCTGAGAGATTAAGTAATTTGCTCAACATTGTGTAGTTTATACTTTGAAGCCAAGCAGCTGTCAGAGTTTGTGCTAGTGAGCACAATGTTATGCTGCTTCACTTGTGGAATGTAAAATCCCATGAATATCTCTCTATATCACATCTGACCATCTCTACTAAACAAAGAATGTCAAAAATATTTTAAAATGATGTGCTGTTTCTCATTATTTCTACCATTCTCAAAATACTTCAAAATAGCGCAAAAGATTCAGCTTTATTTATTATGCAAAGGATTTGATGTGAGTCTTAGTTGAGTTTGCCAGCTGAAGGGCTGTGGTATTGTGTTCCTGGTACATGATTCAGGGTCAAGAGTTCCAGACTCTGTGCCACAGGAACGGGGCTTAAGCCTGAGAGGCCTTGTTATTAGTTGTGCTACCATACATTATCACATAATTTCTCTAAATTTAAATATAGCAGTGTTACTTTAATAACTCATCCAGTGGCATAAACATACTTTCCTATCTATAGAATAGGGATGATAACCTTTAGTTCTCAGAGTTTTCTGAGCTGAAATGAATGTGCAAAGTTGTGTATGCTAAAATAGTTTCATATAATTCAATTTATACAAACTACAAGGTAGTATTAATGACAATTGAGATAAAAATAGAGCTGAATTTATGTTTTACAGTTATTGTTAGAAACCACTTTAATAATTCAACTGACCAGCCTAATATTCTTTCTGGTGTGGTACCTATATTAAGATATCCCCAAAAGTTTAAGATTGACTGAGACAAAGCCTTTGAATATGTAAAAAGTGAAACAAAAATTGTTTTCTCTAAAAACAAACTTTACTCATTTCATCTTGGATACTCAAAATGTCTTCATTATTTTCTTTAATTTTCACTGGTGCCTATTACATGCCAGGCATGTATACTGGCTCAGCTCAGGCCAATTTCTGCAACAATGGAAATGCTTTGTATATGCACTATCCAGTGCAGCAGCCACTTGCCACACGTGGCTTTTCAGCACTTGAAATATGGCTATTGCAACTGATCAACAGAATCTTTAATTTAATTTTATTTAAATTAATTTGAACTTAAATTTAAGCAACCATATGTGGGTGGCAGCTACCATATTGGATGCTGCAGAATTAGACACTATCAATGTGTCCTACTGTCTTTCATATCCTGGTTCACTTTTGGGAGGCGATGCTCTTGGAGTCTTATCTTTTGATGGTGATTGGTATTATTCATCCATACCCTTTAACCTTGCCCTGCTTTAGTTAAAGGTATACATTTTCAAGGAAACTGACAAATGCTAAGGAGGCCATCTGGCTTAAAGAAGTGTTGGTAACTGCCTTCTCTAGGCATGCGGAGCTCATGAGTTTGAGTCAGATTTTCCTTAAACATCAAACAACTTTAAAAAGCTAGAAAAACCTAACCATATGCCCAATCCCCTTATAGTTTTAGGAAAAGAAATAACATGGGCAGTAAAGGAGCCATTTTAACTAATATATACTCAGCATTAGAGTGGGAAAACTCAGTAACTTCTTAAATCCACAGTGTCTTACATGATTTAATTGTTTAGCTTTTGCAAAATTCAAAAATCATTGTTATGTTCCTTTCATTTAATTTTTAAATCTTAGAAAAATTCGTTTCATATGTTTCTGATAAATGTAGATAGAACTCATCGAAATGCATTTGGTAAGAGTTGTTTTTAGAAGATTCCAGATATCCCGTGAATCTTTGGAATAATGAGAACGACTTCATTAGTTTTGCATAAAATTCCCATTTAGTCAGAGATTATTAAACTGAAAGCCCAGCCATCTACCACGTCAGTTGAGTGCTGAAACTATTCCCCCTTCTATAGCTGGCTGAATATTAGTATTTAGGAATAAGTTATGTCTATACAAGCAATATAGGACTAAAAATCACCTACCAATTTCCTGTCTATGTTTAGGATAAAGAAGCTGTGGCTCAGAGAATAAAAGTAAGTTGTTCAAAATCTTTAATGTGGCTTAAGACAGATAAGAAATTTGAACTCAGGCTACCTGGTCGTTGGTCATTAATATTTTTCAACAGAGTACACAGTCTCATCTTCATTCTTTAAGTCAATGTAGTGATAGGTTAGAAAAATACTTTGGTGTTTTTAAGAGCATACAAGAATACCTTTAATTTTATTTAATTTTTCCTCTGATAGCACATAATTAACAATTCAATTAAATATATATGCCAAAATTACTGCCAAAAGAAATATATCTTTTAATTGACATAAACATGAAGACATTTCTTATGCAGAATATCTAATGGGAAATTCCCCTCGGTAGCTAGCTGTTTTTTGATCAAAGAAAATAAAAAGAAGATAAAAGATTTTGCCTAATTGCTTTCCAGAGAAAAATAGATGGAGTCATATTCTGTATGATTTGTGAATGTAAAAGCTTGTAGAATTGTATGATATAATTCAAGGGATGAATTGTGTGTCAGTTCACACCTGATGCCCTGAGATCCCATGGCTTTTTTAGGTTTTTGTTCTAGGGATTTTAGAGAAGAGGTGTCACTTAAACTCTTAAGTGCTCTCAGTTCCTTTGGGGAATGTCTGTCTGAAGGAATCTTGGTGTCTCTAAATTCTTGTCTGTTGCTATCATCAATTCAACAGCATTGTAGCTCCCCTCTAAAAATTTATAAGCTAGCAAATGGCTGAAGCTGGGAAGATAAAAAATGCCCACTGTGCTATCTATCATTTGACTCTTTCAGAGATGTTTACACACAAAGGCTTTTTGGACAGACACTATTCAGCTCCTGACAATTTACAAATGCCTTCCTAGATAGATTTAAAAATTAATCTTAAGGAGACCAAAGGTTTGGAGCATGGAGATGGGATGTTCAGGGTATAGCCTTCTTTGTATGCTTGATTCATGGGAAGTCTGAGGTAAAATTTTGAGTGTCTGGAGATCTTGGATCCAGTCCACAATCTTTTCCTAGTTGCTCTGCAACGCTGAACAAGTTAGTTAACCTTTTTGTGCTCATTCTAGGCTCTCAGTTTAAAAAAGGGAGATCAATTCCATGAAAATTAAGGTGCTATTAATAGTTATACAAGGTAATACATTAAAAACTCTCTATATCATTCATTAAAAATCAGATTGTTATTTAAAAAGTTGGAATTTAATCTCATCTAAAAAAGCTTAGTTATTGAAAATTAAAGGACAAAGGTTTTAAATACTTTTGGAAGATAAAAGTAGAAGAAAACAAATACTCTACAGATAGAATTAAGTTTACAAAATAGCCTCACAATGGAAATATGGAATCAGAAAGGCTATCAATAAGAAAAAAAAGTTAAAATAATGAAAAGCATTATTTTCTAGAATTTACAAAAATATGACATTTAAGGGAGGAAGAAAAGGCCACTATTAACATAAATATTATAGATCCTTATAGTAAATGATTACTGAACAGAATTTTCATCAAGGTACTATTTTAAGTAAAGTTTCTTTGTGATGATTACGATGAGATGTAAAAATTTTAAAAGAAATGTGCCTTTTTAGCCAGGTGCAGTGGCTCACACCTGTAATCCCAGCACTTTGGGAGCCTGAGTTGGACAGATCACAAGGTCAGTAGTTCGAGACCAGCCTGGCCAATATGGTGAAACCCCACCTCTACTAAAAATACAAAAATTACTCGGGCGTGGTGGCGGGCGCCTGTAGTCCCAGCTACTCAGAAGGCTGAGGCAGAAGAATTGCTTGAACCTGGGAGGCAGAGGTTGCAGTGAGCTGAGATTATGCCACTGCACTCCAGCCTGGCGACAGAGCAAGACTCCATCTCAAATAAAAAAAAAGGTGTCTTTTTAATTTTAATATTTTTCATCTATATTTACTACTAATCATATAATTATATTTACTAGTAATAATATAATCAAACATTAGACACCAAATATGTATTTTTGTGGTTGCAATAAATCACATGCTAAAATTAATTCATAGGTTAGCAGTCCAGCTTTAATTCATATGTCTCCTTGTTTATGCATATTGCCAAATATTCATGTTTTATTAAACACTAGAGAACTGCTTTTTCACCTCTGGTAATTTTATGACCATGACTGGATTTACTATAACCTCAATTCTAAGCAAGAGAATAAAGACTTCAATAATGTCAAATAAAATAGCATGAAGTGGTCTTGTAGCATACTATTATTGTTTCATAGTCAACATTTAACAATAATTATTCTTTGGAGAACTTTGTGTTATGTGGTTTTTGTAGAACTACATGTGATTTAGTGACAATAGCTTTCTTTAGTGATTACAGATTTAAAGGATTACTGAACTCTTCAGATTTTAAAACAACAGAATTTCCAAGAGGATTTTATTTTCAATTCTTGTTTACTTCCTAAATCATGCATTAATGTGATGTTTGGAAAATGAGCTAAATTTCTAGTGCTGAACCAGAGCCATCTAGAATGTGAATTAGAAAATTGAAAACAAATTTGCTAATGTGTACTAGAAATGATGTATTATATGCAAATGCATTTACAAATAAAGCACAGTGTAAGTAGAAGTATGAGTGTGGAATGTGCACCTAGTTAGGAAATAAACCTATTTTTTGCATGCATGGTATGACCCCCCATGGATTAAAAGGGTTTATATATGTCAAAACTGTAGATCGGTGCCTAGCACACAGTAAGAGCAACAGTGTTTGCCTCCTCCCTCTCCCCCTCCTCCCCATCCTCCCTCCTCCCCCTCCCCCTCCCCATCCCCCTCCCCCTCCTCCTCCTCCTCCTCCTTCTCCTCCTTCTCCTCCTCCTCCTCCTTCTTAATACATCATCATCATCATCATCATCATCACTGTTGTTCACCCTCTCTCTTTCTAGCTTCTTTGACTTGTATATGAGATTACATTCCTGGCTCAATTATTTTAGTTCTTTTATCCTTTTGCTATTCCACCTGAGCCAATTCCCAGCCTTGAGACAATTGAACCCTTTTCTTCTTCCAGAATTTCACTTGTGCCATTTGGAGTACCAGCATTTGAAATTGGGCCTTGACATCGCTCGGCAATCCTCTTATTTAGCTCTAGTCAACTAATCGTACATATTTATAAAGTATGGTGTTATCTTTTGATCCATATATACAGTGTGTAATGATCAAATTAGGGCAATTAGCATATTCATCATCTCGAACATTTATTCATTATTTCTTTGTGGAGAGAACAATAAAAATCCTTTCTTTTAGCTATTTTGAAAGAGACAATATATTATTGTTAATTACAGACACCCTACTGTGCAAGGTAACACTAAAACTTATTTCTCCTTTCTAACTATATCTTTGTACCTGTTTATCAACCTTTCCCTCACCTCTCCTCCCCTCTCTACTTCCCAGCCTCTTGTTACTATTCTACTCTTTACTTCTATGAGATCAACTTCTTTAGCTTCCACATATGCATGAGATAGTGCAGTGTTTGTCTCTCTGAACCTGGCTTATATCACTTAACATAATGTCCTCCAGGCTCATCCATGTAGCTGCAAATGACAGTATTTAATTATTTGTTATGGCTGAGTAGTCTTCCATTGTCTAAATAGACCACATTTTCTTTATCCATTCATTTCTTGATGAACACTTAGGTTGATTTCATATCTTATAAAACCTTTATTGCTTCCTTGAAACCTTCACTGCAACTTGCTTTTCTCGCTCTCTTTTAGCAAATGATCTCATCTCATTCTTTGTTATAAAAGAAGCAAAGTGATTAAACTCACACCACACATACATACACACACACACACACACACACACACACACACACACATATTTTAAAAACCCTTCAACTTCTCTCTTCAATGGCTCAAAATAACTCCCAGTGTCACCCAGTTTTTTTCCTTTCTTTTTTCTGCCTTGGTGATGGGGGGTTCAGATTATTTTCTGATCTTTCTCCTGCTATTCTTTTGATCAAGGCTTATTTCATTTTCCCACAAACCTTGGTCTGTCACCTCCTATCTAAGATATTTTGAAATATAGCCCTCTTCCTTTTGCTTCCTTCTTCTTAGACATAAAAATTCTATCCTTCTCTTAGGAAAAAAAATTTCTTTAACCAATCAGTATTCTTCTTCACTGTGAACTTTTTCACAAAACATTAAAAGTCTTGATTGCGCTACTTTACCTACCATTGATCCTCAACTCACTGATTCTAAAAGACTAATGATACAGAAGAACTTTTCTAATTGCCTCATCAATGACCTGTTTTTCTTGATCATTATCCTGATTGGGGAACATCTATCGTTTCTGACTCTGTTCTCTGGAATTACAACATGAATTTCTAAACACTTGCTGACAACATGATCCGAGTCTCTTAAAGACTTCTTTCTTTACCTTACTATTGTGTTTTCACTGATGGCTGCTTCTGCTTTGTTAGAGTCTTCTCCTTAAGATTCCCTGACATTCTTTCTTGCCATGTCTCCTCCCCTCTTCTTGATTTCTCTGTTTTAATATCCTTATCTCCTTTAGTATTTCCTTTTCTTGTGTCTGTCCCTCCTATAAAGCCAATTTCCCAAAGGTCTATCTTTGGCTTTCTCTTACTACTCCATGGTCCCTTCCATGAAAGATCTTGCTTCCTTCACTTACTTATGTGGCTTTAAATTTCACACATTGTCATATGGGAAGAATATATAATTCTTCTATCTTACATACACTATGTACACTTACAACATATATCATAAATACATGATGAAAGTACTATGAACTTTTTCCATCTTTCTATTAATAATCTATCATCTCTCCATCCTCTATCATTATTTCTGGCTCTGTTTCCTCTCTTGAACTATAGCGCACGTTCTTGAATACTTGCTGGCAACATGACTTGAATATCTTTAAGACTGCCCTCTTGACCTTAGTATTAATATTCATTTATTTGCCAAATTCTGAGTATGCCATTTCTAAGGGCCTCTTATATCTACCTCTCCTAGATCCATTCATACTCCCAGTTTAATAGTTCAAGCTTCTTCCATTTCTTACTTAAAATATTTAATTAATCTCATTGTATTAGGGTTCTCCAGAGGGACAGAACTAATAGGATATATATATATATGGAGAATTGGCTCACATGATCACAAGATGAACTCCCACGATAGGCATCTGCAAGCTGAGGAAGAAAGAAGCCAGTAGTGGCTCATTATGAGTCAAAAAGCCTCAAAAGCAGGGAAGCCAACAGTGCAGCTTTCATTCTGTTGCCAACGGCCCGAGAATCCCCGGCAAACCACTGTTGTATGTCCAAGAGTCGAAAACCAAAGAAGCTGGAGCCCGCTGTCCAAGGGCGGGAGGAATGGAAAGAAGAATCCAGCACGGGAGAAAGATGAAAGCCAGAAGACTCACCAAGCCAGCTTATTCCACCTTCTTCTATCTGCTTGGTTATACCCACACTGGCAGCCAATTGGAGGGTGCTCACCCACACTGAGAGCAGGTCTTCCTCTCCCAAACCGTTGACTCAAATATTAACCTCCTCTGGCAACATCCTCACAGAAACCCCTAGAAACAACACTTTACCAGCTATCTCAGCATCTTTCAATCCAATCAAGTTGACATGTGGTATTAACCATCACATTCTTGTTTTTGTTTTTATTTTTGTTTACATTTAATTAGAAATCATCCCCTCCAATCCATCTTTTACCCATATAACATACATATTTTTCTAAAAATTCAAATATGATCACATAACTCCTTTGCTAAAATATCCAACCTGATAGTCTATTTTTTTCTCTAGGATAAAGTCCAAATTTCTTAGTCTCCAAAGAGTTCTCCATAAACTGCATTTCTAGTTTTATCACCATCATTCCATCAATGTACCAAACACTGGGTCGACAGGACTATTTGGAGCTTTCTTTATTGGATCTCAATTCTGAATCAAGTCTGCTCATCCAGCCAAAATACATCCTCCCATCCTTATCTGAAAGTTGAACACATAAAGCTTTTAATAATGCACCTAGTAATCATTTTTAATAGTGCAGATGGATATTTTATTATCACTTGGTGATATTTTCTCTTATATTTTAATATGCGACTCCAGTGCCACCTCTTCTATTTTGCTTGATCCGATTCTGCCAAGTAGGAATTCATCACTCACTCCTCAATCTCTCATAGTACTTAATACATTCTATATTGCCTTATGAGTAGTTTGGTTTGCCTTTCTCCTTGAAGAATATGGTCTGAAGTCAAAAGAACTTTAGTTTAAATTTTACCTTTACCTTTTGCCAGCTTGGCAACTTCTCAATCTATTTGGCTAAGGCATAATGTTTAAAATACCAAGCATAATGCCTGACATCTATTTAATATTTAACAAATGTCATTTCTTGTTATTTATTTCCCTTTTCTTCCTCTCTACTTATTCTCTGATACCTAGGACAGAGCAAATAGTAAATACAATTTTTTCCTGCTGTTCAATTAAATTCAAAGAAAGTTATAGGAGGACTAACTCAGATATCTTGTCCAGTAAATTTTTAAGGTTTAAGAAATCAAAATACCCACCTGGCAGCATTTGGAATTATTAGCTCTGTCCTTACTATCACATGACAACTTCACATTGTTAACTATAATGACAAAATTTGGAGGTACTGTCAGGCACTGTGCCAAGCACTTTTTATACATTATTTCATCCCTACATTAACCTCAAGAAGCAGAGGTTATCATCACATCCAGGACTCCACAGACAGGAAGTAATCAAGTTCGAATAAAAGACTGAGTAGTCTGATTGAGTTTAACTCTTACCACTATTACATTAACTTTACTTCTGTTTCTGGCCTCAGTTCTCCTACTTTCTGTATATCAATTGATTAATTGAAAAATATTAGAGTGCTGAGATTGGGTGTTTTGCAAGACAGGAAAGAGATCCAAAGAGTTGAAGTTTGAATATTGGAATAGGTAGTTGATGGTAGAATTTGAAGGAATAATGGTATCAGAGTATAATAATAATAAAAAAAAGATTTGGGTCAATGAAATGATAAACCAAATAAAACAGGAAAACTATTCAAATGACCTATATAAATACTACTCAATCAATCCAGTAGAAAGTTCCTTCATATGGTTTAGGAAGAAGATACAACTCACCAGAGTTATATACCACTGTATATGACTTGATTCAGGCCCACTGAGTAGATAACCACATACAGTGATGCTAATATGCAAGAAACGTGTATCCTGTATACTCTGCCCTGAGAAGACATATATGTTCCCTTTCTTTGTGCATGTAAAATGTGGTTAAATACAATTATGCACAACAATGTTTTGGTTAACAACAGACTGCATATACAATGGTGGGCCATAAGATTATAATACTGCATTTTTACTCTGCCTTTTCTATGTTTAGATATGTTTAGATACACAAATGTTCTTCATTGTGTTACAGTTGCCAACAGTATTCAATCCAGTAACACGCTGTAAAGGTTTGTAGCCTAGGATCATATAGCCTAAGTGTGCAGTAGGCTCTACCATCTAGGTTTGTGTAAGTACACTCTATGATGTTCACACAATGCCAAAATCAACTGGCAACACATTTCTCTGAAAGTAAGCCCATTGTTAAGCAACACGACTGTAATTATAAAACAATTCCTAATTTTAGTATTAGTTTTTTTGAGGCTTTATTGTGTACAGTTGCACATTTATAAATTTCAGAATAACAAAAATTATTAGAAAGTTAAGCATGATATAGGAATATGCAAACATGTCTTTGCTGAGTTCCAATAAAATGAGATTTCAGAAACAATATTTTTAATGTGATTTATTTATAATGAGAATTATATGTGCCATTTTGAAAACTAGTGTGCATTCAAAACAATTTACACTTATGTAATTTCTTGATTGCTGTGTAATTTTCCCCTAAATGAGATGTTGAGCTTAATCTACCAATAGAGTAGGTCATTCATGCTCAAAAGCCCATCTCTAGATAGCGAAGTGGAATACTTATTTAAGCACTAAAAGCACAGCTTATGAAGGATCATAGGGCAAAGAAAAGATTAGGAAGGCTTTAAAATGTTTGTAGGAAGAAAATAGAAGACAAAGCTCATCTCAAAATTTCAGAAAACCAGGAAGATGCCACTACATTAAAAGCTTCTGCACATAGGGTGTTTTTTGTTTCTTGGATTATATATGAAATAATTACTTTGGGATTTTAAGCATTAGTAGAGCCTTAGGATCTTTCAGTGTACTTTTCTTAAATAACATTTTGCTAACTGTCCTTTGTGACTGTAGGATGCCAGGTGTAACTTGAAATGATAAGTCCACTTTACTTCGCCTTTCAAGGGTTTTTCCTCTCCTGACAAAGACAGTCGGCTAATAGTTATGTGCTCTTGTTGTAAGGCGTGCTAACTTACCCTTCTTTCTGAGGTAAACAAGTTTAAATGGGAAAGTTTTTGTTTTTAGCATACACCTCCTACCCCAAAAAGATAAATGTGACATGAGCTGGCATTTCTCCATAAGAAAACAGATTTAGGATGATGATCAGGTTACATCAGAGAAATTAGGGAGAGGCATGACTACCTACCAACAAATCTGTAAGTGATAATTGTTACTCGTCATTTTCTCTATCATAAAATTGTCCTATTTGGGAGAAGACTGAAAAGAGCTCTTCATATTCTTCGTTAAACTGGAGATAAGTATAGTTTGGGTTTTCTTTAAAAAATTTGTAACCATCTTTCCTTTAGTTTGTGAGGTGTGTGAAGTGACTATGATTCTATAGCTACATTTGTGTGGGTGCTACAGCTACTGCCTTGAGATCTAAAGCTAAACTTACATGCTTTGAATGCGAGGAAAACGAAGGTGTTTATGGGATTTAAAGTTTCTGAAACAAATGTTGTAAGTTTGAAATTTTAAAAAACTGCTAGATTTCCCCAGATCTCCTATTGAAATCTGTTGATTGTCTTCTACATCTTGGTTGGAAAAGTTTACAAAATATTGCACTAAGGAAATGCCGCTGACACTGAGACCTTTTAGAAGACAGCCAGATAGCCCACCCTGCTGTCAAGCCTTCAGTGCCGTGATGGACCAGGGCACCATTCTGCCTGTTTGAAACGTGCACAATTAAAAATGTGTCCTTGCTGTTTTTCACATAAGCAGATTAAATTGAACAGACTTTAACAATAATATTTTGATAAAAACCAAACAGTAAACAATATCTGGCCATCTGTAATATAGTTTAATACATATTTACTATACTGATGTCTCATTTATCCAGCAGTAAAAGATGAGGTATTTCATGCACATTTTCCAAATAATTCAACCTTACCCCTTTGTGTGCCAAACCATTTTATCTATTTTTATTCTGTATTAAAATTTTATAAAATCTATTTCCATGCCATCCAACACACAAACTATAGCATTATAATTCACCTTTTCTTGATGACACAAGAGCATCATTTTGAATGAACACCCCTTCCTATGGAGCAATTCATCTCAATGTGTGCTTTTTTCTATCACCTTTCTTGATATCAATTGTCACTTCATTGCTGTCAGAGTAACTGCCTCTCAATTTTTATTCCTACCACCCAAACTTTCATTCTGTTATTATTATAATCTTTTGAGTGTTAGCAAGTCAGGTAATCAAACTTTAAAAAATTTCTATGTATACAATTATACATGTTCATAATAATAGAAATAAAAATAACAGTGATGGAAGTAGGAAATAGCTAAAGTTTTATTGTTAGCATTTGCTCTAATAATATCCTTTGATCCTTTCGCTATAAACACACACACACACACACACACACACACACACACACACACACACACACATATATGTGTGTGTGTATATATATAGTTTGCTTAAAAATAACCAAATTTGGCCGGGCGCGATGACTCACGCCTGTAATCCCAGCACTTTAGGAGGCTGAGGCGGGCGGATCACGAGGTCAGGAGATCGAGACCATCCTGGCTAACACGGTGAAACCCCGTCTCTACTAAAAATACAAAAAATTAGCCGGGCGTGGTGGCGGGCACCTGTAGTCCCAGCTGCTGGGGCGGCTGAGGCAGGAGCATGGCGTGAACCCAGGAGGCGGAGCTTGCAGTGAGAGGAGATCGCGCCACTGCACTCCAGCCTGGGCGACTGCGAGACTCCGTCTAAAAAAAAAAAAAAAAATTTATATCTCTCTGAATGAAGGTAGGAAGAGCCAGCTGAGTGGGACCATCACTTTGACTTGGGCCAGGTTGCCAGAGTTGAGCCTGGTCTGTAGAGTGGGTAAGGCCAAACCAAGGACATTTTTAGTTCTGCCTAGGAGTGTGAGCATCTTTGAGAATGAAGGTACAGTCTGGAATCAACAGCAGCAGGCAGAGAGAGAGAACTACAGCTAAATGCAGGAGTCAGGCAAAAGTAGTTTGTTTTCTTCATCATTGGAGCCGGAGATAAACACAGTAAAGAATAAAGCATAAAATGATTTTTTTCTTTTTAAAATGCTATGTAATTTATAATTTATAATTCTTAGGAGCTGTCAGTTTTGAGGGAAAAAAGTAGATGCTTTATCCAGTGTGTAAAGGCATGAAAGTCCTATTTTTGACAGAAATAAAGCTACTAAATTTGTAAGAACATAACCCATTTGGAGAACTATATTAATGTGTCATTTTTGACAGTGTAGTATATCAGTGATAAATAGAGATCAGAAATAGAGTTTGGAATAATAAATATATATTTCTGGATTCAAAGGCAACATTTAACAACGATAATCACATTTCTGTGCCTTTATTACTGTTAAAAAAAAAAGATAAATAAACAAATAAGATGATGTAATTAAGCCTGATAAAATTCTGGAGTTGGAAGAGTCGTTAGAAATCTCCCTGTCTAGTATTTTTATAGTTCCCTGGAACACTATTCTTCAAGATGGTATGTACACACACACACACACACACACACACACACACACACACACACACACAATGTTCCTTTGTTAAATAACTTAGGAAATACTGCAAACTATATCTCTCTTGCTGGAGATTCATGGTGCAAATCAGTGTTGTAAAAATTCTAAGTCCTGCGATAAACAAAATCTGTTTAACTGTGTTTAAACAAACATTGCCCAAGTATATCTGAACACAGGACACTTTCTTTGCTTCGTGTAGGTTTTAAAATCTTACGTGGAACAACTTGTGGGAAATGCTGATCTCATCCTAAACCCTTATTTTACATACAAAAAATTATGTCCAGGGAAGGTTCATGAAATTTAAAAATAGTAAATCCTGAACCCAAATCAACACACCATGTTACCTTTCCCTGTGGTCGCTCTTTCTCTGACTTGCCTAATTCTGCACTCTCATTTTCCATTGCATCCAGCATCTTATTTTTCCCTGCTCCTCCAGCATCTCTACCCTGTAAAAGTTCCTCTGTATTCAGTTTTGGGACTACTCACCCACTCATAGCCTCATATATATCACCTTTACCTTTGACGCCATATTCAGCTCCAGCCCTGATTTCTCATGGAAGTATCACTGTGAAATTACTGGCAGCTGTTAGATTTATTTGTATATTTTGTCTTTATTTCAAACCCAGAATGTCTAAAATCAAATTTATCTTCCTAGCAAATTGTCTGTCTGTTTAAACTTCTCTATTTCTGGTAACAAAATCATTCAATTTTGAAGGCCTTTGTTTTTGCAGTCAGTTTTGAAGTATTTATGCCTCACATTATTTAGATCCAGTCATATTCTAATTTCTCAGGTTATTTTTCACTTAAAGATCAGCCTAATTCACCCCCTCTCCTCCCTTCCCTATTTTAGATTTGCATTTATAGCTGCAATACTAAAAATTTCATAGCTCCTGTCTCTTAAACCAGTCTTTTTCCATTTTATTATTATTAATTTATTTAATTAAAAAATGTGTTTAATTTAAAAGATTGTGGGTTCATAGTAGGTGTATATATTTATGGGGTACATGAGATATTTTGGTAAAGGCAATGTGTAATAATCACATCATGGAAAATTAGGTATTCATCCCCTGAAGCATCTATCTTTTGTGTTACAAATAATCCAGTTACACCCTTTCAGTTATTTTAAAGTGTACAGTTAAATTGTCATTGACCATAGTCCCCCCGTTGTGCTGTCAAATACTAGATCTTACTTATTCTTTTCAAGTACTTTTTGTACCCATTATTGTATTATAATTTAAATATGACTCTTAGGTTATTCACTGAAAAGCAAGTTTTATCTTGTTAATTCCCTGTGCGGGAACTCTTAATGTGTATCCATTTCCTGATGTCCCTGTCTGTTTTCCAGCATCCAAAACCTGGCCACACATTATTGGCTGGTAGAAATGACCTTAGGCTCCACATTCTCTTCAAAGTCACCACTCTGCTCACTGAGATAAATGCATATCTGATTGCCTCCTTTGGAAAGGCTTATCAGAAACTCAAAAGAATGCAACCATTTGTCTGTCACCTACCTGTGACCTGGAAGCCCCCTCCCTGCTTTGAGTTGTCCCCACCTTTCTGGACTGAACCAATGTTCTTGGTTCTTACATATACTGATTGATGTTTCATGTCTCCCTAAAATGTGTAAAACCAAGCTGTGCCCCGACCACCTTGGGCACATGTCATCAAGACCTCCTGAGGCTGTGTCATGAGTGTGCGTCCTCAACCTTGGCAAAATAAGCTTTCTAAATTAACTGAGGCCTGTCTCAAATTTTGGGGGTTCACACCAGTTAAGGTCAGTGAGAAGTAAGGGGGTAAATAAAGGGAGAATAGATAATGTTTATTGTTTCTTTTGAGAAAACATAAGAAAATAGAGTCTGTTCAATTGACAAACAGATGAGCTGTAAGTCAGGATACGGTGAGAATGAACAGCATGGCTAGATCCGCACTTGGGGGTCGTCTCCTGTGGTGTTCTTTCAAAGATCACTAGTGCTCCAAATGACATTATACATTATAGTCATATTAGCTCACTACAGCTCATCACTTCATTAAAATAGTCATCTGACTCATCCAAGTCTAAGAAGGAAAAAAATTCTATTTCAAGCACTTTGCTGAGGTGCAGAAATACTGCCTGAGGGAACCGTTACCCTTCACAGGGCTACCCAGGCTCGCTCTCCCTGAGGATTAAATGCCTGCTAAGAAAGTAAGCCTTAGTTCCAGAATCCTTTCTCATTGGATTTGTAATATTAGGATGTTCCATAGAACTTTTCTGTGTTTCTTGGATACATAAATTGGTTTGGCATGCTAATTGAATAAAGTATGAAATATAGAAGAATGATCAAGTACATGGGGTGCAATAACATGATGTAACTATATGGAAAGAGATTTTTCAGTATGTAAAAGAAGTGTAGAAAACCATATTGAGCTCTTTTTCTTTGCTCAGAGGCCAATACCAGAAATTCAAGAGACTCTTAGAGATCCTGTTCTGAAATATGTCAGTTGGTCCAGTTAGTCATGCTGAGATGTGAGAACAGATGATTACATCCTTTCAACCCCTTTGATTTGGGTATTCGGTTCAGTTTGATTAATTTTTCTATATGGAGATGATTTCCTTATTTAAAGAAGTTATCTCACTTTATATATTTTGATCTTTTTCTGCTATCGTATTTTTTAAAAAGTCAATGAGTGCTTGATGAAAAACAGATTTCTTCTTTATGCAGTTGAGACTGAAAAGAAACCATAAACATCATTCCCTTGCTGATACAGATAACAAAAATTGATGGTGGGAGTGGAGAAGAGACCATTTGACTCCATTTTGTGGATTTTCTGGAAAGAAGCACTTTTAAATAAATCACTTTATCAGTATTTGAGCAAAATTGTCAGACTATAGGTTTCACGAACTTAAAAAGAGCATTTATGAAGTTATTCAGTAACAGGATTTCAGGTAAAGGCATCTGAGCTCTCCACATTTCATCCCAAATGCCAACCTTTCTCTTTTCTCCCTATCCTTCCTTCAGACTTCACTCCCTTTCTCTCTCCTTCACTTCCCTTCACGTCTTCCTTCTCACATATGCATTCAATAGATACTAGCTTTTGTGTTTTATTTTCAGTGTTTTGTGTTTGCAGAACTATCTGGGGAAAATGAAAAATGACTCTCTAAAGATTTTCTCTAAACCAGCAGTGCACACTGTCTGCACAGCAGCCCTCCCCTCACTCCCTCCAAAAAGGAGATAAAAACCAGTCCTACGTTTCTTATTGTTGGGAGTTGACACTCTAATCCACACTTACGTTAAGTTGTTGCATGAAGAAAAAAGTCAGATATCGTTTGACAATAATAAAAGAAAGTTAGATGCCAGTGCAAACTATGTGTGTAAATTAAAAAAGCCTGCACAAGTTGAGACAAGAGACTGGGCTGTTGTGTGCCACCTAAATGTCCAATTAGGAGGAGAGCAAATTGCCCATAAAAGGTAGCGTGCTGTGAGAATGGGAGGGGCTGTTGGCTCCATGTGCAATAGTATAAGATTCTCTGCTGTGATAATTACTATTTTTGGCCTCCCAAGTGTAGCTGAGAGTGAAGCAGCTTATATTGGCCTGTATGCATTTAGACAGTTGGTGATACCAAATCCAATTATCCTCAGCTGCATGACCACTGAAGCTGTTTTCATCTGTGAGTGATTCCTCACAGCAAGGAGAGGGAGACAACACTAATACTCTTCTATAAGGCATGGGGTGGGGTGTGGGGAGAGACCATAACAAGAGGGCTAACATAAAGCAAAACAAAAAAGATTAGGAGGGAAGAGAACAAGGCTGATGGTGAGCTAGCATTGAATGAAAGGATTTCTAAGCTGCTATCATTTGCAAATACCTTTTACAAAAGGCCGTACCACAGCCTACCAGGCTGATCAAAAGCTTCTAGTTATCAGCTAAACATTTTCATTGGCCTCAAAATGTATTCCCGCAATTTGTTTTTACATTTGTGATTCTCACCCTGACAGCACTAGAATTGCAGGAGAACTTTTCGAAATGCTGATAGTCAGGTCCCAGCCCAAATCAAATAAATCGGAATCTCTTTTTATGTTTAAAAAGACCCCCAGGGGAATTCTAGTGTGCAGCCAGACTTGAGGACCACTTAGTGAAGGAACACTAAAGACAATGCAGACGTCCTTAGTATGCAGGAATTCCCAGGCATTTACATTTGCAAAATTAGGGCTAAAATATGTGAAGAGCTCTCTTCTATTAAGGTGACTTCTAAGCAGTGTGACATATTTTGCCCTGCTTTTTGTTGACATAAAGTCATATGTGGCTCCCATAGACCAAACTGCAATCTTTAACAGCAATGCTTCCAAATATTATCAACAAAGCCACTGGACAGAATTGTTTGGGAAATGCTGTATTTTGGGGAGTTTTCAGAACCTTTTTTTTGAGTATTGTCACATGTGTACTTACTGTATGCTAATGTATATTTTTAATCTCCAAAGTTTCTTAAACTTATTTGATCAAAAATGTTTTGCAGAGAGAGAGAGTATCCGTATGTAGTTTCCTGTTCCACAAAATACACTTTGGAGAAGATCTGTTTAGTCTCCACACCCTTCACCTCCTACCCTCAACACTCTCCCTTCTTCATTCCTATCCCATAACTTCTGACACTGACAAGAGTTATGCTGGTTCTGATTAGAATTCTGAATATCAGAAAAACATTGCCACAATTGAGATGTATGTAAATATATATCTTTCACAGTACCTCAATGGACATGGTCCTTGCCCAGTGACCTATTGATAAAGACCTGTCAAGCCATAGAAAAAACACCTGTTTTTTTTTTTTTATCATTAAGTTCCAAAAAGTAACAAAACTGGACCACTGCTAGCTCTTTAGTGGGAGTCAGCATTTCTATGTATACTAACGTTTTGTAAGTGTCAAAAAATTGCTATCAATGTACTGTTACACCCTACTTTCTACTGAGGGTGTCTGCAATGCCTTCATTGCACTGCAGATGTCAACCTCAAAACTGGGGAAAAGTATCTGGGGACTCCCAGACCATTTCCTGTTTACTCTCTTCTCAGGCAGATTAAGCTACAGCAAAGAGGAGTTAGGATAGCATTTGTTTATTTCCAGAGCGGTCAAAATTGTTCATTGAGTAGATTAAATCCTATGAAGAAAAATACCTATGGTTAGAGAGGTTCACTCACTCCATTTCTCCGTCAGTCTGCCTTCTTTCCTTCCTCAGGTGCTTACCAACTACTTCCCCATTTCTCTCTTTCTTCAACCACTTTCCTTTACTCTTCTTGTTGTTTTTTTTTTTTCTTTGGTTGTCATGTCATTCTCTTTTCCATTTAAATCTTTATGATTTAGTTTCATTTAATGATCCGAAAAGTTGTGTAGACATAATAGCCAAATAATTGCCTATTAATTTATCAGCACTACTCAGTGAGATAGGTTTTCTGAAATAAAACTGTATGGGTTTAAACTTAATTAAATAAGCTCAAATATTCCAAATATATGAGAGAGATTTTTTCTACAAAGCAACCTAAGATGTTTAGTACATTATAATTATGTTTTAACTAGTTGTTAGGATATTTTATTAGGTTATGTTAATAATGTAGAACAAATCTGTAAACAATAACATTCTAATTCTAAATGGATTTTTCCCATGTGAAAGGATGGGCAAAGATACTTTCACTGAAGGCAAAAGAATAAAAAACAGTGGCATTTTAAGATGTATTTGGATATTTTCCTTGGACAGTATTTAAAGTTTTCTTTGAGATTACAGATACTTTTCCAACGACCAAGATTGATAAGATAGCCTCTTGAGGCCCTCCCCAAAATGGCGAAGTTTTATTACTGCTCAGGGCGTTTTCA